>NC_000015.10:86138247-86289762 GCF_000001405.40 Homo sapiens
ACAGTGGGAACATTCTTTTCTCCCCTTTCAACTTGGTTTCTCAAGAGTCTCCCATCCAAGTACTAACCAGGCCCAACCCTGTTTAGCTTCTGAGAGGTTTCTCAAGAGTTATCATTCATGGATCTGGCTGGGTTCAATGTTTCTTTCCAGGATTCTCTCTACTTCTCCCAGTTTACCTTTGTCACAGCCCTTGCTGTCTTGGGTCCTGTCTGCCAGCTGTTCATCTCAGCCAGGCCTGGAGCCCTATGAAGGAAGGTTGTGCTGTCATCCATTTTTATCCTCAGTGCCCAGCTTGGTGGCTGGAATGTAGATGATTCCCAGTGAATGTTTGCGAGATGAATGCATGAATCATTGAATGAAAATAAATTATATCTGGACCTTTTATTCCCCTTTAATCAGTTTTTACCTTATTAGTTTTCTTCTTTCCCTTTTCTCCTTCCTCTTTTTCTCATCTCCTCATTTTCTCTCTTATTTTCCTTTTCCTTGCTCATGATTTATAATCAACTAATGACTTCAGCATTTTAAAATTTACCCAACATTTGCACAGCCTTTCCAAAGGCTTTTATGCCCCTCCTCTTCATAGAAAGATGAGCTGTGCTACAGGTCTATCCAGAAATGTCAATGTTGATCAGGAAACTAATTCCAGAGACTTCATTTTCTTCTGTGAGCCATCTTTGGGTCCATTTTCAAAGGGCTAGAGTCCTGAACATTCCCCCAAATAATAGATCAGTTGCTGGACAGCTCCTCGGTTCTTATTTCTAGTTTTTCATAGACTACGGAGGGAGAGGCACCCACATTGGTACACGTATATATCACAGTTGCTGGAGGATGGTGTGGACTTGGAGTTTCAGAGAATGATATCATCTATTAACATTTAGTGCAGCTGTGATGACAGGCATTAGCAAAGCATATGCCAAGACTGCCCTTGTTAGCCCAAAGCTCCCAGTGGAGAAGATGTTAGAGGAAACCCAAGTCTTTCTCCTGGGTAAGTGTCTAGGGATCCCTAGGAGACTCAGGAAGTCCACACTGTCTCTGAGTTCAGGGTTCTCTTCTGTATAACACCTCTGTTATACAGATAGAGTATCAAGCATTGCAGAGATCCCTTAGAGTTTTTTCATAATAGGATTTGGCACCACCCCGGGATTCTCTTGAGAAAAGGAGGAGTTCGTTCTTGTCAGTCAGGGAAGTCTTTCCATCAGAACATTTTAGTGGATTTCTGTTTCTTGCCTCTGTGCTGTATTGAAAAATAAGCCAGCCGGGTGTGGTGGCTCATGCCTGTAATCCCTTTGGGAGGCTGAGGCAGGAGATCGAGATCATCCTGGTTAACATGGTGGAAACTCGTCTCTTCTGAAAACACAATCAATCTCCTGGGTAAGTGTCTAGGGATCCCATCAAGTATCTAGGGATCCCTAGAGGTCTCATCCTTCTCAGAATAGGAGTTAGAAAGTTAAATTTTGATATCTTGTTCATCAATTAATTTACAAATCAAAATTAATTGAAAAAATACATTAATTGATTTTTTTTTTTTTTAAAAACCAGGGCATTCCTTAGTTTAAGTGGGGCCCACCTGGGTGAGAGGGCCCAGCACCTAGAAGAAGGTGTTGGGTCTCTTGGTGGTGAAGTACCACTTGCATTGACAACGCAGGACCCAGTGGGGCAGCGGGAACTTGTTCTTGGAGTCGTGGAACTGCTTCACTGTGGGCCGGTGGCACTTGCTGGGGACAATCTCCTCCACCTTCATGATCTAAATGGGTGGGCGGGACATGATGTGGAGAGCCCCTGTCTGGGTAGCACTGGGTGACAGCGCCCCTGGTGGTCAGGTCTTGGTATTCCCCGTGCATGTTGTGGGTGCCCCTCCCAGAGTCATAGCGCAGTCAGATGCCAAGTTCTTCACCCTCAGGGGGGTACTTCTCAAACACCCGCCCACAGGTGTTAATCAATTAGTTGATTTTTTCAATTAATTAATTTTGATTTGTAAAAATATTTATCTTGATTACTGTGGGTTTTTTTTTTTTTAATGCCCCTTAAATTTTGTGCTGAAGCAGGTGGCCCTGGCTGGGATTTTGAAGTCTGATTTTAACTCTTTAAGACCCTGGGGAGGCTTAAGGCTGGGACTGAAGAAAGTGTAGGCATCATGTGCCTTTGGGGATGTTGTTGGACTTCATGGCCTCCTTGGAGTTCTTTTTGGTTCAGTTTGGTTCCATTCAACAAATATTTGCCCACCTTTTATGAAAGACCCCTTGTGCCAGGTGCTGGAAAGATATATACACAAAACTTGATTTCTTCTTTAAATATCTTCATACCTAGTGGGGGTGGAGTGGGAAGCAAGATTATACCATGATACCAACACCATGTGGTAAGTGCAATGTCAGGGCTGAGCCCAGAGTGATGTGGAGATAGAAGGGACTCCAGACCCAGCTTGGGGGTTGGATGGGATCTCGTGGAGCTGGAGTGCACTTGAAGGATGAGCTGGCATTGACTAGGCTGAGAGGTAAGGAAAAGTGCGGCTGGAAGAGGGAAGAGTGTGATCAAAGTTACAGAGGCATGAAATGGCATGGTTTGAGCAGGAAACTCCAAGGGGTTCCGTGTTGATGAAACATCTATTTCAGGCAGGGTGTTGTAATGAATAATGAAGCTGAAGACATAAGAAGGACAAGATCATAAAGAGCTTTGGAAATTCTATTAATGAGCTATGACTTTATCCTATATGTGATGGGGAATTATTGAGGCCTTTGAAGTGGATGAGGAGTATGAGTCTTATGGAAGATTAAGGCTTTGCCTTAAATAAAATACCCTCTCCTCCAAATATCTTACAGTGCAAAGAGCGCTGGCCTGATTTTGGGAGACTGGACTGAGTGGTACTTCTGGCCTTGCTGTATGTATTACTTCAGGAGACTCAGCAAGTCCACACTGTCTCTGAATTCAGGGTTCTCTTCTGTATAACAGAGGATAGAGTATCAAGCATTGCAGAGATCCTTTAGAGTTTTTTCATAATAGGATTTGGCACCACCCTGGGATTCTCCTGAGAAAAGGAGGAGTTCATTCTTGTCAGTCAGGGAAGTCTTTTCGTCAGAACATTTTAGTGGATTTCTGTTTCTTGCCTCTGTGCTGTATTGAAAAATAAGCCGGCCGGGTGTGGTGGCTCATGCCTGTAATCCCTTTGGGAGGCCGAGGCAGGCAGATAACGTGGTCAGGAGATTGAGACCATCCTAGCTAACACAGTGGAAACTTGTCTCTACTAAAAACACAAAAAACTAGCCAGGGGTGGTGGCACATGCCTGTAGCCCCAGTTACTTGGCAGGCTGAGGCAGAAGAACTGCTTGAACCCGGGAGGTGGAAGTTGCAGTGAGTGGAGATCGCACCACTGCACCCCCGCCTGGGCAACAGAGCAAGACTTCATCTTAAATAAAAATAAAAATAAGCCAAGCCTACTGAAATAACAGACCTGTGCTACTCTGGCCCACAAAGCCCCTTTTACTTCCTTGTTTTCTGTGTAAATCATTATTGCTTATTCTTTTGTTCATCTTGCTGATGTTACTACAAGATACGTCTGCAAAGATGAGTTCTGAAGACTAAATATGGAGGGAGGCACAGCCCCTGGGTCTCTTACCAAGTGAATCCCCTTGCCTGTCCTTTCGCTGTAGTTAATCTTTCTCCATGACAGGAAGTAGAGCTCTGCCATTCCATGTACATCCCTGATCATCCAACTCCTTCCTCTTGCATTCTTAAATATGGCTGCCTGTGTTCTCATTGCAGAGCTCCTCTGACAAGGAGTCCATCCTGACCATCCTCAAGGTCCTCGGAGATCTGCTTTCTGTTGGTGAGTAGGCCATGCTCTCATGCTTTCATATGGCGGATGTGGAGCCTGCTGGCTGTGATCTCTCCCAGGCACCTCTGTGACCTGGGGGTTTGCTCTTGCTTCAGTTTCCTGTGAGAGGCAGCATCACTAGCCCATCTTTTTTCTCTAAGGTTAATAAGACCCAAGTAACCTGGACTGTTTGTACTTGCACTCCTCAGTCTTCTCACCCGACACTGAGGAGGAAATTAGATTTAGTAGTAACCCTCCGTGGTTCTACCCCTCTTCTCGCCCTGCTCGCTTCCATTGTGACCTATTTAAGAGAGCTGAGTATCAGAAGCTGCTTTGGCTATTTGAAGTAGAGGCAGGAATATCAGGCAGAAGCTGAACTTGAAAGCATGTAAGCATCACGTTTTCAGAGATAAGATAACAGAGTTGACTACATTGGAATCAACTGGATTAACTGGAGCATGCTTCTATTCGCTCAAGTTCTTACTGAGATTTTTGAACATTCCAACATTCACTCAATTTGCATTTTTATGTATGCTTGCCTCATTACTTTAGAAAGAAATATTAACACTGAACAGGCAATATCAGAAATAAATGACACTCCAGACCCATAGATCCTCAGGATTATGGTTTCAAGAGGAAGGGGCCCATTGTATTGGGGTCTTTCCATGGTTTGTGCTGCGTTCCACTGGCAGGATGACTTACATTTAGTCTTTCACGTGGGGCCTGTGTAAGTGAAGTCACTCGTCTTCTGGGATAGTGCTGTCTTACATTTGTCCAGAGGTGTCTGAAACTCTTAAGACAAAACCTTGAAGTTCTCCCTCTGATAAGGTGGTGATTACTTTGCCTCTTGCAGAGAATGCTACTTTTCATTAGGACAAAAAATCAGATGGTCGTCTTTGATAATGTACCACCCTGTTGGCCACCTTGGTTAAGTCAACTTTGCCCCGTACATAGAGAGAATCAACCAAGGCCAAGTTGTAATGAAATCGTTGCTTTTGAGTTTGTCCTTGGGCAAGGTGGAGGAGGTCCCTGTTCAAAATTGTACTTAGGTAGAAAGACCAATAGTTCGTCATAGCTCTAGACTGTCTTCAAAATTCCCTAGATAGGATGATTGGATGTTTCTTTCTCAAGGGACTACTGCAGTGGTTTCTGTAATTTTCTTCCATCAATTTCTGAAGGCTAGCATCAGAAAATCATTATGCCATCAATACAATGATTCCAGATTAGGCCATCATCCCAATCCTTGTTACAGAAGATTCAAATGTATAGCAGAGGGATACTGATATTCTCTCTTCTAAGTATATGATTATTCAAAAGCCCATATGCATATTTACATACATGTACACACATGTATACATACATATACTGAATATTCAACAGAATCTCAGATAAGCTCTATTTATTACAGCTGTTGCAGCTGAACACAACTAGGTTCTTAAATATTCCACTATTTTCCTATTTCACAACCCTCTTCCCTTAACTGATAGTACAACTTTAACACAGGTTGCTTCAAGAACTACATAATTTTACGTAGTTGAAATGAACTAATTCTTGCTCTGTCTCTAGTTGGGAGGTCTGTCTTCTGCTCCAAGGAAAATGGGGATTATTACTTGTGGCTCATCTTTCCTCCGGTTTCCCCTCAGGCACAGACCGGAGAATTCACTACATGATCAGCAAGGGTGGCAGTGAAGCTCTTCTGCAGACCCTGGTAGACACAGCGAGGACAGCTCCTCCAGACTATGACATCCTCCTGCCTCTCTTCCGGCTGCTGGCCAAAGTTGGCCTAAGAGGTACTCGTACTCCAAGACCTAAAGCTGACTGAAAAGGCACTTCTAGGGTTGTTATCATGAGTGCAATTTGGGAAGCTTTGGTGGAGTAGCACAGGGAGAAAGCGTCAGGGAGGTTCTGGACAACTTGATGGTGATGGCAGGACCAGCCCCATAGGAGAGGCCATTTTGTTGACTTTGATGTCAGCTCATCCAAGGTATGGTGCTCAGGACAGAGCCCAGAACAAACATGGGCTACATGGGGCATGGATAATATGGGGGAAAGGAGGGGAGATACTCCAATGCAGTTTTTAATTATTTTAAAAATAAATGGAACATGTCTAAAAGTTGCATCACAAGGTTGTGGAGAAAAAGGAACACTTATACACTGTTGGTGGGAGTATAAGTTAGTTCCACCATTGTGGAAAACAGTGTGGTGATTCCTCAAAGACCTAAAGACAGAAATACCATTCGATCCAGCAATCCCGTTACTGGGTATATACCCAAAGGAATAGAAATAATTCTATTATAAAGACACCTGCATGCATTTGTTCATTGCAGCACTATTCATAATTACAAAGACACGGACTCAACCTAAACGCCCATCTAGACTGGATAAAGAAAATGTGGTACACATACACCATGGAATACTATACAGCCATAAAAAAGAATGAGATCATGTCCTTTGCAGGGACATGGGTGGAGCTGGAGGCCATTATCCTTAGCAAACTAAAGCAGAAACAGAAAACCAAATACCTCATGCTGTCACTTACAAGTGGGAGCTAAATGATGAGAACATATGGACACACAGAGGGGAACAACACACACTTGGGCCTGTCAGAGGATGGAGGGTAAGAGGAGGGAGAGGCTTAGAAAAAATAACTAATTGGTACTAGGCTTAATACCTGGATGCTGAAATAATCTGTACAACAAACCCCCATGACACAAGTTTACCTATGTAACAAACCTGCACATTTACCCTTGAACTTAAAATAAAAGTTAAAAAAATAAAGTCTATAATATAAGTGTCCTAGTTTCCTAGAGCTGCCATACGAATTGCCACAAACTGTTTAGCTTAACGTAACAGAAGACTGTTAGGAGGTCAGAAGTCCAAAATCAAGGTGTTGGCAGGGTTGGTTCCTTCTGGAGTCTCTGAGGGAGAATCGGTTCCATGCCCCTCTCCTCTGAGGGTTGCCAGAAATCCTTGGTGTTTCTTGGACTATAGATGCATCACTCTGATCTCTGCCTCCATCTTCACGTGCTGTTCTCCTCTGTATCATTTCCTCTTTGTGTAAGGACATCAGTCATAGGATTTAGGGCCCACTCTAATTTGTAATAAAATCTGCAAAGATTCTGTTTCCCAAAAGAATAACATTCTGAGCTTCTGGGTGGACATGAATTTTTGGGGGCCACTATTCAATCCACTACAAGTCACACAGAAGTGGAACATTCCTAGTTGAAGGGAAGATGGAAGAAGGGCCTAGAGTTCTTTCCATTTAGGCTCCATAGTCATTTCTCTTTCACCAAGGAAAACCCTGAAACATTTCCCTAAAACTCTAGAAGTTCTTGGAGCACAGTTTAAAAGCATGGGCACTCAGGACTCATGCAGACATTGCAAACGAGTCACAAGTGTTAAGTTCTAATTGTGTGCTGAGTCTTATATAGGTCACAGCTGAGAAGCTCAGATCCTCTGAAAAGTGGGCCTTTGATGTCCAGTGCTATCAGTGGCAGCCAAATGCCCAGGGGGTCTGGAGCACTCTTCCTTCCAATATTTGGATCTCCACGCTGAGTCCATTCAACATGCTGCTGATAATGATGGAGAACTAGGCTTTTGCCAACACCTGCATGAGCGTGTCCCAGAAAAAATCAATACAATTCGTTTGGTGAATATTCAACAGATATTTACTGCATGTCTCCTAGGGCCAGGTGCTTTAGGCACTAGGAACACCATGATGACCAAGGCAGTTAAGGACCTGCTCTCATGGAACTTATGTTCAAGTGGAGAAGGCCAGCAAATCAACAAATAACTTGATGATAGCAGACTATGATGAGGGCTGTAAGAGGAAGCAAGAGTGATGCTACTTTAGACTGGCATGGTCAGGAGAGGTGACATTGGAGCTAAAACTTGAAGAATGAGAAGTCAGTAAAGCAAAGAGTGAGCCAGGTGGACTCCAGGAAAGGACCACAGAGACTTGATATATACCTCGGTCATAAACGGTATAAGCTGGAGAGTCAGACATGGGTTTCAGGCCTGGCCCTGACACTTATTAGCTGTGTGACCTTGGGCAAAGTACTTAAACTTTCTGAGCTTTGTGCCCTTATGTATAAAATAGAGCTATCTGTATAGTTGGTCTTCCATTTCTGTGGGTTCTGCACCCATGGATTCAGTTAACCTTGGATTGAAAATATTTTTAAAAATTTTATCTGTACTAAACATGTACAAACTTTTTTCTTGTCATTATTCCCTAAGCAATACAGTTTAACAATGATTTACATAGCATTTACATTAGATTAAGTATTATAGTAATCTAGAGATGATGTAAGGTCTGAGGATGTGTGTAGATTATATGCAAATACTACACCATTTTATATCAGGGACTTGAGCATCTGTGGATTTTGGAATCTGTGGGAATCCTGGAACCAATCCCACGTGGACACTGAGGGATGACTCTACTTAATTCCAGGGTGCTGTGAGGATTAAACAAAGTATTGCATGTCACATGCTTATCATATGTTCAGTGCCCTGGCAAACTAGGGTCATACAGGTTTTATAGGAGAAAGAGAGAGATGAGAGATACACCAGGCCAGTGATTTCCAAGTTATTCACCTTGATATTACTATTGTAGTGATTACATCACCACAGTTTCTGCCATCAAGGGGTTATAGTCCTTGACACTGACATTCAAGTTGCCATGGGCTGACCTGAACAGAACAGAAATGAGGTTGGCTGCTCATGAAGGAATGGGATAGATATCTCTTTTCTGATGAAGGGAATGGGTTATGTAGGTTTAGTTACAACCTCTTTGCTGGTGTCCTTTAGTCCAGAGGTACATATCAGTAAACGAGGTTTAGGATTTTATTTCTGTTTTACTCATTTCTACCTCCGATAAATCTGATAGTGATGTATTCTTGCAAAAAGAAACAGGATGATTTAGACATCACCCATTGACAGGTATCATAGTGGGGGCAAAGAACAGAAAATAAGTATTTCTTTTTTAATGCTTATTTTCTAATTATTAAAATAATGAGGACTATTTGTAACACTAGCTGTCAGGTTATTTGGAACAGTAATGTAGAAATATTAGAGGGGAAATAGGGGGCATTCCAAGATGGCCCAATAGGAACAGCTCCGGTCTGCAGCAACTAGCGTGACTGACGCAGAAGATGGGTGATTACTGCATTTCCAACTGAGGTACCGGGTTCATCTCACTGGTGCTGGTTGGATAGTGGGTGCAGCCCATGGAGGGCAAGCTGAAGCAGGGCAGGGCGTCGCCTCACCTGAGAAGAACAAGAGGTTGGGGGATTTCCCTGTCCTAGGTGAGGGAAGCCCTGACAGACTACCTGGAAAAATGGGGGCACTCTCACTTAAATACTGCACTTTTCCCAAGGTTAGCAACCTGCAGACAATGTAATTCTCTCCTGTGCCTGGCTTGGCAGGTCCCACACCCACGGAGCCTTGCTCACTGCTAGCACAGCAGTCTGACATCAATCTGTGAGGCAGCAGCCTGGCTGGGGGAAGGGTGTCCGCCATTGCTGAGGCCTGACTAGGTAAACAAAGCCGGGAAGCTCCAACTGGGTAGAGCCCACCATAGCTCTTCAAGGCCTACTGCCTCTAGACTCCACTTCTATCGGCAAGGCATAGCTGAACAAAAGGCAGCAAACAACTTCTGCAGACTTAAACATCCCTGTCTGACAACTCTGAAGAGAGCAATGGTTCTCCCAGCACAGTGTTTGAGCTCTGAGAACAGACAGACTGCCTCCTCAAGTGTGTCCCTGACCCCCATGTAGCCTAACTGGGAGACACCTCCCAGTAGGGGCCGACTGACACCTCATGTAGGCAGCTGCCCCTCTGGAATGAAGCTTCCAGAGGAAGGATCAGGCAGCAATATTTGCTGTTCTGCAGTATTTGCTGTTCTGCAGCCTCTGCTGGTGATACCCAGGCAAACAAGGTCTGGAGTGGAACTCCAGCAAACTCCAACAGACCTGCAGTTGAGGGACCTGACTGTCAGGAGGAAAGCTAACAAACAGAAAGGAATAGCATTGATATCAACAAAGATCATCTACACCAAAACCTCATCTGTAGATCACCAACGTCAAAGACCAAAGGTAGATAAAATCAGAAAGATGGGGAGAAACCAGAGCAGAAAAGCTGAAAATTCTAAAAATCAGAGCATCTCTTCTCTTCCAAAGGATTGCAGCTCCTTGCCAGCAACAGAACAAAATTGGATGGAGAATGACTGATGAGCTGACAGAAATGGGCTTCAAAAGGTCGGTAATAACAAACTTTTCTGAGGTAAAGAAGGATGTTCGAACCCATTGCAAGGAAGCTAATCTTGAAAAAAGATTAGGCGAATGGCTAACTAGAATAAACAGTGTGGAGGAGACCTTAAATGACCTGATGGAGCTGAAAAACATGGCACAAGAACTTCGTGACACATGCACAAGCTTCAGTAGCCAATTCGATCAAGTGGAAGAAAGGGTATCAGTGACTGAAGATCAAATTAATGAAATAAAGTGAGAAGACAAGGTTAGAGAAAAAAGAGTAAAAAGAAATGAACAAAGCCTCCAAGAAATATGGGACTATGTGAAAATACCAAATCTACATTTGACTGGTGTACCTGAAAGTGATGGGGAGAAAGGAACCAAGTTGGAAACCACTCTTCAGGATATTATCCAGGAGAACTTCCCCAACCTAGCAAGGCAGGCCAACATTCGAATTCAGGAAATACAGAGAACGCCACAAAGATACTCCTCGAGAAGAGCAACCCCAAGACACATAATTGTCAGATTCACCAAGGTTGAAATGAAGGAAAAAGTGTTAAGGACAGCCAGAGAGAAAGGTCAAGTTACCCACAAAGGGAAGCCCATCAGACTAACAGCGGATCTCTTGGCAGAAACCCTACAAGCCAGAAGAGAGTGGGGGCCAATATTCAACATTCTTAAAGAAAAGAATTTTCAACCCAGAATTTCATACCCAGCCAAACTATGCTTCGTAAGCAAAGGAGAAATAAAATCTTTTACAGACAAGAAAATGCTGAGAGATTTTGTCTCTACCAGGCCTGCCTTACAAGAGCTCCTGAAGGAAGCACTAAACATGGAAAGAAACAACCACTACCAGCCACTGCAAAAACATGCCAAATTGTAAAGACCGTTGATGCTAGGAAGAAACTGCATCAATTAACGGGCAAAATAACCAGCTGACATGATAACGACAGGATCAAATTTACACATAATAATGTTAACCTTAAATGTAAATGGGCTGAATGCTCCAATTAAAAGACACAGACTGGCAAATTGGATAAAGAGTCAAGATCCATCAGAGTGCCATATTCAGGAGACCCATCTCACATGCAAAGATGCACATAGGCTCAAAATAAAGGGATGGAAGAAGATCTACCAAGCAAATGGAAAGCAAAAAAAAGCAGGGGTTGCAGTCCTAGTCTCCAATAAAACAGACTTTAAACCAACAAAGATGAAAAGAGACAAAGAAGGCCATTGCATAATGGTAAAGGGATCAATTCAACAAGAAGAGCTAACTCTCCTAAATATATATGCATCCAATACAGGAGCACCCAGATTCATAAAGCAAGTCCTTAGAGACCTACAAGAGACTTAGACTCCCACACAATAATAATGGGAGACTTTAACACCCCATTGTCAATATTAGACAGATCAATGAGACAGAAGGTTAACAAAGATATCCAGGACTTGAACTCAGCTCTGCAGCAAGCAGACCTAATAGACATCTACAGCACTCTCCACCCCAAATCAACAGAATATATATTCTTCTCAGCACCACATCACATTTATTCTAAAATAGACCACATAATTGGAAGTAAAGCACTCCTCAGTCAATGTAAAAGAACAGAAATCACAACAAACTGTCTCTCAGACCACAGTGTAATCAAATTAGAACTCAGGATTAAGAAACTCACTCAAAACCGCACAACTACATGGAAACTGAACAACCTGCTCCTGAATAACTACTGGGTACATAACGAAATGAAGGCAGAAATAAAGATGTTCTTTGAAACCAATGAGAAAAAAGACACAATGTACCAGAATCTCTGGGACACATTTAAAGCAGTCTGTAGAGGGAAATTTATAGCACTAAATGCTCACAAGAGATAGCAGGAAAGATCTATAATCAACACCCTAACATCACAACTAAAAGAACTAGAGAAACAAGAACAAACAAATGCAAAAGCTAGCATAAGGCAAGAAATAACTAAGATCAGAGCAGAACTGAAAGAGATAGAGACACAAAAAACCCTTCAAAAAATCAATGAATCCAGGACCTGTTTTTTTGAAAACATCAACAAAATTGATAGACCACCAGCAAGGCTAATGAAGAAGAAAAGAAGAATCAAATAGATGCAATAAAAAGTGATAAAGGGGATATCACCACCAATCCCACAGAAACAGAAACTACCATCAGAGAATACTATAAACACCTCTACACAAATAAACTAGAAAATCTAGAAGAAATGGATAAATTCCTGGGCACATACACCCTCCCAAGACTAAACCAGGAAGAAGTTGAATCTCTGAATAGACCAATAACAGGCTCTGAAATTGAAGCAATAAATAGCCTACCACCAAAAAAAGTCCAGGTCCAGATGGATTCACAGCCAAATTCTACCAGAGATACAAAGAGGAGCTTGTACCATTCGTTCTGAAACTATTCCAATCAATACAAAAAGAGGCAATCCTCCCTAACTCATTTTATGAGGCCAGCATCATCCTGATACCAAAGTCTGGCAGAGACACAACAAAAAGAATTTTAGAACAATATCCCTGATGAACATTGATGCAAAAATCCTCAATGAAATACTGGCAAACCGAATCCAGCAGCACATCAAAAAGCTTATCTCAATGATAGACTGGATTAAAAAAATGTGGCACATATACACCATGGAATACTATGCAGCCATAAAAATGATGAGTTCATGTCCTTTGTAGGGACATGGATGAAATTGGAAATCATCATTCTCAGTAAACTATCGCAAGAACAAAAAAACAAACACCGCATATTCTTACTCATAGGTGGGAATTGAACAATGAGAACACATGGACACAGGAAGGGGAATATCACACTCTGGGGACAGTTGTGGGGTGGGGTGGGGGAGGGATAGCATTGGGAGATATACCTAATGCTAGATGACAAGTTAGTGGGTGCAGCGCACCAGCATGGCACGTGTATACATATGTAACTAAGCTGCACATTGTGCACAAGTACCCTAAAACTTAAAGTGTAATTAAAAAAAAAAAAAAAAAGCTTATCCACCACAATCAAGTCAGCTTCATCCCTGGGATGCAAGGCTGGTTCACCATACACAAATCAATAAATGTAATCCATCACATAAACAGAAGCAAAGACAAAAACCACATGATTATCTCAATAGATGCAGAAAAGGCCTTCAACAAAATTCAGCCCTTCATGCTAAAAACTCTCAATAAACTAGGTATTGATGGAACATATCTCAAAATAATCAGAGCTATTTATGACAAACCCACAGCCGATATCATACTGAATGGGAAAAAACTGGAAACATTCCCTTTGAAAACCAGCACAAGACGAGTATGCCCTCTCTCACCACTCCTATTCAACATAGTGTTGGAAGTTCTGGCCAGGACAATCAGGCAAGAGAAAGAAATAAAGAGTATTCAATTAGGAAAAGAGGAAGTCAAATTGTCCCTGTTTGCAGATGACATGATTGTATGTTTAGAAAACCCTATCATCTCAGCCCAAAATCTCCTTAAGCTGATAAGCAACTTCAGCAAAGTCTCAGGATACAAAATCAATGTGCAAAAATCACAAGCGTTCCTATACACCATTAACAGAGAGCCAAATCATGAGTGAACTCCCATTCACAATTGCTACAAAGAGAATAAAATACCTAGGAATCCAACTTACAAGGGATGTGAAGGACCTCTTCAAGGAGAACTACAAATCACTGCTCAGCGAGATAAAAGAGGACACAAACAAATGGAAGAACATTCCATGCTTGTAGATACGACAAATCAATATCGTGAAAATGGCCATACTGCCCGAAGTAATTTATAGATTCAATGCCATCCCCATCAAGCTACCAATGACTTTCTTCACAGATTGGAAAAAACTATTTTTAAATTTCATATGGAATCAAAAAAGAGCATGCATTGCCAAGACAATCCTAAGCAAAAAGAATAAAGCTGGAGACATCATGCTACCTGACTTCAAACTATATTACAAGGCTACAGTAACCAAAACAGCATGGTACTGGTACCAAAACAGATAGACTAATGGAACAGAACAGAGGACTCAGAAATTACACCACACATCTACAACGATCTGATCTGTGACAAACCTGACAAAAACAAGAAATGGGGAAAGGATTCCCTATTTAATAAATGTTGCTGGGAAAACTGGCCAGCGATATGTAGAAAGCTGAAACTGGATCCCTTCCTTAAACCTTGTACAAAAATTAATTCAAGATGGATTGAAGACTTAAATGTTAGACCTAAAACCATAAAAACCCCAGAAGAAAACCTAGGCAATACCATTCAGGACATAGGCACGGGCAAGGACTTCATGACTAAAACACCAAAAGCAATGGCAACAAAAACCAAAGGAAACACATGGGATCTAATTAAACTAAAGAGCTTCTGCACAGCAAGAGAAACTACCATCAGAGTGAACAGGCATCCTACAGAATGGGAGAAAAATTTTGCAATCTACCTATCTGACAAAGGGCTAATCCAAAGTCTACAAAGAACTCAAACAAATTTACAAGAGAAAAACAACCCCATCAAAAAGTGGGCAAAGGATATGAACAGACATTTCTTAAAAGAAGACATTTATGCAGCCAACAGACATGTGAAGAAAATGCTCATCATCACTGGTCATCAGAGAAATGCAAATCAAAACCACAATGAGATACCATCTCATGCCAATTAGAATGGTAATCATTAAAAAGTCAGGAAACAACAGATGCTGGGGAGGATGTGGAGAAATAGGAATGCTTTTACACTGTTGGTGGGAGTGTAAATTAGTTCAACCATTGTGGAAGACAGTGTGGTGACTCCTCAAGGATCTAGAACTAGAATTACCATTTGACCCAGCAATCCCATTACTGAGTATATACCCAAAGGATTATAAATCATGCTACTATAAAGATACATGCACACATATGTTTATTTTGGCACTATTCACAAAAGCAAAGACTTGGAACCAACCCAAATGTCCAACAATGATAGACTGGATTAAGAAAATGTGGCACATATACCCCATGGAATACTATGCAGCCATAAAAAAGGATGAGTTTATTTCCTTTGCAGGGACATGGATGAAGCTGGAAACCATCATTCTCAGCAAACTGTCACAAGGACAGAAAACCAAACACTGCATGCTCTCACTCGTAGGTGGGAATTGAACAGAGATCAGTTGGATACAGGGCAGTGAACATCACACACCGGGGCCTGTCGTGGGGTGGGGGGCAGGGGGAGGGATAGCATTAGGAGAAATACCTAATGTAAATGACGGGTTGATGGGTGCAGCAAACCAACACAGCACATGTATACATATGTAACAAACCTGCACGTTGTGCACATGTCCCCTAGAACTTAAATTATTTTTTAAAAAAGAAAGAAACATTAGAGGGGATAATTTTATTTTCTTAACAATGTCTTTTGACTTTTTATTATGAAAACTCTCTCTCATGTAGAGAGATGGCCTATTATATACCTAAAACTTAGTTCTAACCAATGTTAACATTTTGCCGTATTTTCTTCACCTATTTATTTTTATCTGAAATATTTTAAGAGAAATTGCAGGTTAGCATTTTCTTCCTAAATCCTTTCAAGTGCATTTCTTTGAAAAGAGACATTTCCCTACATAATCACAATACCATTATTACAAACCTAATAAAATTAAAAATACGTGTGTAATTTATATTCATTCCAATTTCTCCAAATGTTCCCAACTGTCTTTTATAGACATAGTCAAAGCAAGATCCAATCCAAGTTGACATACTACATTTGAATGTTATATTAAGAATTATATTAATATTAAGAATATTCAATATTCTTAATTCTAGAATCGTCTTAAAGGAACAACTTTATTCCCAATTGAACTGTGGTTAATGTATGAGGACAACCTAAATATAGGGGCTTGAGAGTTATTCAACCCACAAGCTTCCATGTAAATATGTGTAGCCTGAATTAGCTCTTTTGATTCATTTGGTTCTAGTGGGGACATATTTAGCAGCATTTGTCACTAGGTCTGAAAAATGTCTTTGGCTATGATTATCCTCCTCCTTCACCATCTTCCCCTTCCTCCACTGTACTCATTGTACAATCCAGAATCAATGTGAAGTGCAACTAAGATAGATTGATTTGTGTTCTTAGATAAAAAGATTGGACGGAAGGCCCTAGAATTGGAAGCACTTGATGTGACATTGATTCTGGCCAGGAAGAACCTATCCCATGGCCAGAATCTCCTCCACTGTCTCTGGGCTCTGCGTGTGTTTGCCTCCAGTGGTAAGTGACTCTATTGTGGCTCTCGGGGATGGCTTCCAAACCTGGGCTGGGACACATGGAAACTGCATGAGGGTCTGGTTGGAAGAAAAGCATGGGTGAGAGATACACATGGTGGTCCCAGCCAGATAAATAAAAGAGACTGACAATCCAGAGGCTGTGGAGGTGAGAAGTTACTTCATCATCTTCTCCTTAGCTGGGTAGAGCTCTTGAGTCTGCTCCTAGAGATGGACTTCAATATTGTTTCTCCTTGGCAGTTACACATTACAGCATTGTAGGCTTTTCTATTCGTACTACAAGGTAAAAAAAGGTCTGTGACAGGAGAAGGGCAGACTTTATTTAGTCCTTGTCACATTCAAGTGTTATATCTGGGCAGAATGACTCTCACATCACAAATCTCCCTACCATATTCCTGAAATTACTCATTGATTACAACATCCCTTACCATTTAAAAAAACCCATGATCCTTCTCAACAGGGTCCTCCAGGTAATTATTAGGAACATCATTGCTCAGTTGATATTTATTTGCTATCTCTTGATTTGACTTATTTCTAATTATCATAGTAATTTTGTATTTAGACCCATAATTTTATAGTTTTGAAAAAGAAACTTTAAAGAGTAAAGCAGGGCCAGGCATGGTGGCTCACGCCTGTAATCCCAGCACTTTGGGAGGATGAGGTGGTCAGATCGCTTGAGCCCAGGCATTTGAGACCAGCTTGGTCTCTGCTAAAAATACAAAAACTTAGCTGGGCATGGTGGCATGTGCCTATAGTCCCAGCTACTTGGAAGGCTGAGGAAGGAGAATCACTTGAGCCCAGGAAGTCATGGCTGCAGTGAGCATTGATTGTGACCCTGCACTCCAGCCTGGGTGACAGAGTGAGACCTTGTCTTAAAAAAATAAAAAAAGTGAAGCGATTGCTTGAATTCATACAGATAAAAAGTCAGGAGGGTGGAATTTCTAACTCCAGAGCTCATTTTAATTCTATTCCATATGGAAACTTTTTATTAATACGTTAGATCCTATACCTTCTATCTGATATGTAATGAGCATAGACTTTCATTTCTCCTTTCCGAGTTCCCTTCCTATGAAATGAAAGTGACAATTATTTAGAGGTTATATAGTTGATAGGGGAAAGAACGTGGGCTTAGAGCCAAAAAGACCTGAGTTTGACTGTGGTTCTTTTTTTAATGAGTCATAAAGCATGAATACTTACCCTGTTGAACCTCAGTTTCATCCTTTACAAAATTACAGTAGTAATAATGATTACCATTACTCTGCTAGGGCTGCCTTAATGCCTTAACAAAATATCACAGTCTATGTGGCTTAAACAAAAGAAATGTATTTTCTCACTTTATTTTTTTAATTTTTTTTTATTTTTTTGAGATGAAGTCTCACTCTTTTGCCTAGGCTGGAGTGCACTGGTGTGACCTTAGTTCACTGCAATCTCTGCCTCCCAGGTTCAAGCAATTCTCTTGTCTCAGCCTCCCGAGTAGCTGGGATCACAGGGACCTGCCATCATGCCTGGCTAATTTTTATATTTTAGTAGGGACAGGGTTTCACCATGTTGGTCAGACTGGTGTCGAACTCCTGATCACAGGTGATCTGCCCATCTTGGCCTCCCAAATTACTGGAATTACAGGCGTGAGCCACCATGCCCTTTTTTTCTCACATTTTTGAAGGCTACAATTTGGAGCTCAGGATGTCGGCAGATTTGGTTTCTACTGGCCCCTCTCTTTGGCTTCCAGATGGCTGGCTGCTCCCTGTGTCCTCACAAGGTCTTTCTTCTATGCTTGGGCATCCTTGATGTTTCTTTGTGTGTCCAAATTCTCCCTTCTTATAAGGACATAAGTCCACATTAGACTAGGACCCACCTTAATGGCCTCATTTTAAGTTCCCTCTCTAAAGGCCCTATCTCCAGATACAGTCCTACTCCGAGGTACTGAAGATTAGGGCTTCAATGTATGAATTTAGGAGTGGACACAACTAGCCATAATGGAGCTCATAGACTTGGTAGATGGGGTGAATGGGAGAATGTTCATGGGCATGTTCGTCACATGGCAACTGCTTGATAATTGCTAGTTTCTCTTCCCCGCCCTATGCTTTTCCCTTAGTCTTTTGAAATAGTAGAATGAGTACAGATATGGGGAGTTAATAGGTGACTTTTTATTTCTAATTACCCCAAGAACTACTAAAATGCCTGATTTTTTTTCTTTTCTTTCTTTTTTCTTTTCTTTCTTTTTTTTTTTTTTTTAGACAGTCTCGTTCTGTCACCCAGGCTGGAATGTAGTGGCATGATCTTGGCTCACTGCAGCCTCTGCCTCCTGGGTTCAAATGATTCTCGTGCCTTAGCCTCCCGACTAGCTGGGATTACAGTTGTGCACTACTACACCTGGCTAATTTTTGTATTTTTAGTAAAGACGGAGTTTCACCATGTTGGCCAGGCTGGTCTTGAACTCCTGACCTCAGGTGATCCACCCACCTCAGCCTCCCAAAGTGCTGAGATTATAAGTGTGAGCCACTGTGCCTGGCCACAATAACCTGATTTTCATTGGTAAATTCTCTTAATAAACATGGAGGATTCATAAAAAGAAGGTATTTCTGGGGGAATAATGGGATAGATGCTTGAATCCTTGTTCACAGATGGAGCCTCTACTCACCTATCTCCCGTATATTGACCTGAACACCAGAGAGCATTAGGGAAAGGCTGAGTAGATTTGCATACACCCATCTCTAATAAAGGAAAAGAGGAACTGTGGCTTTATATAAAGGACAACTCTCATTAATGAATAGACAGAAGGTGTGCCACCCACATTTGCAGTGTGCCAGCAGAGCGAAATTTGAAGCATTTCCTGGTTTCCTAAAGCATAAATAGGCTGAAAAACTTGCCTTCCTTAAATATAATGGTTATGGAGATTTAGAAAAATTCCTTCAGCTGAGTTCTGAGAAGTCCTGGGATTTTCCTGTGGGTATGAGGAGGTGGCTATCTGATTCATCTTCTAAGCCTACGTTGATTGTACCAACTCACTGTTCCATAAGGTATTTAAAAAAATTATACTGTCACTCTCCATACATTCACTTTACTGATGAGAGGTAAGCAGAGTTCAAGAAGCCTGCGGATTACTATCTTTTCCGTCAATTGTTAGCCACTGTTGAATGTTCCAGCAAAGCTTTCTAAACAGCTCCTATCTTCAGAAGGAGTTGGCTGGAACCCTAATGGGTCTGTGAGAGCCAATGAACCCTTTGGAAGTTCTCAGATGGCCAATGAGGATGTTCACAGAGCTGCCGGAGCTCTAACCTCGGACAGGCATCCACAAAAGTGAACTCAGTGAGGATTTCTTATTGTTATCCTCTTCCAATTTCAAGCCTAAAATCTTCCATGTTAGAATCAGTGCTTTTAAAATTAACTCCTCCCTTACTCAATACCAGAATTTTTTTTAATTACTTGCCAAGAGTTTTCTCTAGTCTGTTTTCCCAATTCGGAAGTAAGAGCTGAATGAGTAGCCACAAGAGTGGAAGATTGATGGGCAGGACTAGGATGCCAAATCTCTGAATTTTGATCCAGGCAATTACTTCATGTACTAGCCTCAGGAGGGACATATGCATGGACGATGTTCCAGGAACATGCACTCTGCAATAGCAAAGACATCAGCCTCAGTCTCTATCTGAAAGACTGTAGTGAGATGAGGAAGCTTCAGATTTCCATTTAGCTTCCTTTCCTGAGGGTTGGAGCAATTCAGTATCATCCACCCTTGTTTCCCTCTCTTTGCTTCTCTAAGACCTCTTGTTCCCACTCACTTTTCTCAGATCAAGGCTAGCCTAAAGCACAAGGCATTCATAGGTCTTTGTCTTAAAAACACAAGTCCAGTGGAGGAAAGACAGACGAGAGTGTCTGTGGACTCCTCTTATTTTCTGACATGAGCAGAGCTCTACCTAAAGTGATCTAAGTGGAATAGGGTACTGGGAATGTTGGAGAGACGCTGGGGCATCCTTGGAGACAAGAGTAATATCCAAAAGTTGTATTTACCTAACCAGATACCTCTTTGGAGTTTCTTTCTATCATTCAGATCTATGAAAATGTTTTGATAATCACCCAATTGGCCAAAAAGGCAAAAACTTCCCAGTCTAGTTACTGCTGAGCAGGAAGAACTGATTCTTCATTTGACATTCTAGTTGCGGCACAGTCAAGTCATTACCTTAGTCATGGGAGACCCGAGAATGACATTATAGAGGAATGTGCAACCAGGGTGGAAAAGAAAGGGAGCTATCTTGTTTATCAAGTTGCCCCTTAAAGATTTAAAGGAGTCAATCCAAGTTGTCTTGAGCCTTAACTCATCCACTTGTGACCATAACTACTGTGCTTTTGTTTTTCTTAGTCTCCATGGGAGCCATGCTGGGAATTAATGGAGCCATGGAACTGCTTTTCAAGGTTATTACTCCTTACACCCGAAAGCGCACCCAAGCAATCAGGTACAGAGTGCCATGTAATACTTCTGCCCCTTTTGTAACAGATGGAGAGATGGAGATTGCCCTACATGTATTTTCATGATGCTTCCAGCTCAGTTTAGTGGTCATTTCTCCTTTGGAAATATGGTACCATGTCTTTATCCTTTCTCAGTTTACATCCCTCCACACCCATGAGTCATTTCCTCTAATTCTCATCAAAACCCTGAATGGGTATATTATTATTCTCTTTTTCAGACGAGCAAGTTAAAATATGTCGAGAGCCTTATCCAAGGTCCCTGTGGTAGCAAATAGTAGAGTTGAGATTTGATTCCAGATCTTTCAGACTCGAAACCTCATGTTCTTTTTGCCTGAAGCCCTCAGGTATATACTTTTTACTCGCAGCAAATCTACCATAAATAAATATAATCCTCAAAAGACATTTCATAAATGACAGGGTCTCTAAAGAGACAGCCAGTTAAACTTCTGGCATGAGTTCTGGGCCTTATAATAGTCCATCATGGTCATGTGCTAGTCTTGAGATGTATTTTTATGATTGGAAAATGAAACTCAGCCTGTTCTCCCTGCCTCTGCTTGCTGGAGTGGAGTGAATCATCAAGTTAAAAAGGGAGATGGTTAGACATGAAGGCTTTAGAGATATTCGGGACTATTAAGATCTATCATTTATGGGAGTGACTCAGCGAGGACCTTGAAAGAATATTAGAAGAAATTCAGCCAATTTCCAAGATAGATGGGATCATTTGGCAAGTAACATTTCCATGCCCAACCATGATATTTTCTGCATCTCAGCGTCAATCTTAGCCTCATATTCCACCTGATTATTTTTCTCTTGGGTCACTACAGTTATGCCATTATCATCCATTCTCACCTGCAGCTCTCTACACCAAGCATTTCGTAGAGTGAAATACATTATATCTCAGTGAAAAAAAATTCTCATCCAGTAAGTTGAGAAATACTGGATTGAATGCTGGTTTCTTTACTGTAAGACTTCTCAGAGCCTTTGTAAAGCCAATACATATTGAGAATATCTGTTATTTAGTATACCCTGATCCAAAATTGATTTAGTCAGGGAACTGTGGTTTTTTTTTTTTTTTTTTTTTGAGAT
Organism: Homo sapiens; assembly: GCF_000001405.40. Lineage (NCBI taxonomy): Eukaryota > Metazoa > Chordata > Mammalia > Primates > Hominidae > Homo > Homo sapiens. Next base: position 86,160,126 of record NC_000015.10, read on the forward strand.
CACCTTTTTTAGGGGAAGGAGGGGTCAGTGTTCTATGTCTCTCATTTTGGAAACATCTTCTCCAGGGTGTGAATTTATTGCAAGGTGGAATTCAATTAAATTCTGCTAAGAACCCTCATCTAGTAGGTAAAAAACTTCAAAATAAAAAACTCAGGGACCAAAAAAATTTATTTTCTATGATTATATTTTACTCTGTCTTAAATTTACATTTATGTCAGATAACAAGAAATATAAACCAGTGTCTTATCAGGAATCTAAGTCAAATTAGTGAGTCTTTGGTTCATCCAGGGATTTCACTCTTCTCCCCCCACTTCCTGGGGTACATCTGAGTTCTAAGAAGCCATGGTAGTGCTGGGGTGTTGATGGAAAAACACAGACTGTCCTCAATCATCTCATGTCCATTTGGACATATATATGACTTGGATATGTCTCATTTTTATCATTGTGTGCAGGCCTTTGCTGCTGACATCTGCAGTCTCAACATGTTCTTTGGTTACCAATCTATGAACTTTATCTTTCTGCCCTATTCACAAGGCTTCTTCTAATCTGATGCTGTCATAATTCAGCTGTTCAGAAGGTCAGGAATATCTGGTTTCTTCCTTTAGATTATGTGCAAATCTTTGTGATATTTGCTGGGCTCATCCACATACGGGTCTCACTCAGTCTTCTCCTCTGCCACTTGGGTACCATGTTGTTTGGAAGGCTCCCCTAGGAAGCTCTTCCCACATAGCCATGGGTATCAAGGCACTAGGTCTCTTCCTTCTGGGGTGCTCACATAGCTTTTATTGTCTTCCTCATTCAGGCCAAACTTGTGGGGTAGCGGGGAGAAATCAACAAAGCATAGAAACCTCTTCCTCAGAGACTCACACTAGTTGCCATTTTTAATGCTTTCTTTTCCTCCTGCAAAGGGAGTTGAATTCAGGCACAGATCTGATCAAAGTGTCAGAGGCAAGTGGGAAAGTAATACCAGGGATTAAGGGAGTGAGAGTAGGGTGCTCCCAATCACAAAAGGAGCCTTCCAGGGATTCCAGGCATATTTCTACATGTCTGATTTGTTTTGTAAATTTTGGGCAAGATGGTTTTCCTTCTTCAGTCAAATGCCATATTAAAACCAAACCTCTGTAGGAAAGAGGCTTTTCCACCAACCGTTACAATATAGCTGTCATTGGCATGGTGTTTATGAGGTGCCCTGCACTGTGCTAAGCTCTTAGCATGCATTACTTCCTTTGAGCCTCTCATCTGCTCTGCAAGGCGGGTGCTATTATTGCCCCCAATTTTACCGGAAAATAAATTGAAACTGAAAGAAGTTAAGTAACATGCTGGGTTTTAAGTGAGAGAGCTGGGATTTAAACCCTGTCTGATACATGAGCCTCAGCTCTTAAGCCACCACTGGCGTATCTTATACAGTCTATTTCCAGCATTTTATTTCTACAACCATCATATGTAAGACGATCATATGCAGTTAAAGTTTGCTTAAATTTCTTTTCCATCTAAATGGCTTATACCCATGGAACAATTTGCTTAATGATAGAGGAGTCTTACTCCTCCATCAGTTGGCTATTTCCTCTCAAAGGCTAAATATCTATTCCCTCTGCTTTTGAATTCTTTCCCAAAGCTACCTTGTTTTCTATCTTATCCTTACTCATCAACAGCAAGATAAGAACAAAGGTAATGAAATTGGAAGACCTGCTCTGTAAGCCTCCTTCTACCAGATTCCTTGGCGAGTCATTTAACTTTTCTTAACTAAACTTTGACATTTCTTAAAGCATGAATGTCAAGTCTTACCTCCTAGGTTTATTGTGGGCAATAACAAATAATGTGTAAAGACATCGTGTGCTTTGACATGCTATGACATTGTTAATCATTATTAATACAAATACTATGGGATGTCTGGTTGCCTGCTGCAGATCAGATGGCAGAGGCTGGGGAAGAGTCTGGAGATGAGAACGTCCTGCCAATTTCCATCTTTCACAAACTCCATCCTGAGAATAGTAACTAAGACATACCCAAATGAATTCTACTCAAGCCATTTGGTTGACAGAACCTGTGGGCTCAAGGGGGGTCTTGCAGGGAAGGGATAAAGTCGCATGTCAGGGGGCATGGATAGCTCTACTAAGTATCATCCTCCAAATGCTAGCATGCTATGGGAGAGTTATTCCGGGATGCCTTTGTAGGAGCAGATGCCCAGTGTTGTGTCATGATGACTCCTCCCTCCTGTGGAGATTAGACCTGCCCTACTTCTCTAGCAGGAACCTAAAATTAGATGTGCAGCTGTCCTCCAATGAAGCTCTGTCTCCAGATAGTACTCAGGGCAAGATTTACAACAGAAGCTCCAACCACATACTTGCTAGAGAGAAGGGACATGAAGAGCAATGTCACTAACCCTCTGTGGCCTTGTGCCAGCCCTCAGCCCAGGGCAGGCAGCTATTTCAGGCCTCCTCCACTTCCCAAATACCCACCATGCTGCACACACTTGTGTTGGCTTGTGCCAACTTCCTTCCTTCGGCTCCTCATGAGTCCCATGCTAGTGGGAACAGTTATGGTCAGACTTAAACTGCTATGATAGCCCTCTAGTTGGTCTCACTTCACTTCAAAGCCATCAGGAATGTGCCTCAGCTTCCCTTTCCAGAGTGGTTTCTCATTCCTGCTCTCATCTCGCTTTCCAGCCAGCTATCTCTGAGTGTGGCATTCCCTCTTCTTCCCCAGGTCTCTCCCTTCCTCTGGAATGCCATGCTGCCTTGTGCAGTGGTAGAAGTCTTACCCAGTCTCCAGACTTCACTGGATGCCACCTGCTCCATTTCATCAGAGAAAAGGAATCTACTCTCCTCAAACATCCTCCAGAGATTTGTTCAGACCTTCTTTCGACATGCATTCTATTGGACTCTGTACTATATTGGCCTGGGTGTCTTTTCTCCTCCCTAAATTCTGTACTTCCTAAAGTAGAAATCAAATTATATGTATCTTGTTATTTTCCATTCCTCCTAGCCCAGCGCCTAGATAATAATAGGCTCTTAATTAAATTCAAACGAGGCTGAGCATGGTGGCTCATGTCTGTAATCTCAGTGCTTTGGGAGGCAAAGGCGGGAGGACCGCTTGAGGCCAGGAGTTTGCGACCAGCTTGGGCAACGTAGGCAGACCCTGTCTCTACAAGAAATTAGTTGGGTGTGGTGGTGCACACCTGTAGTCCCAGCTACTCAGGAGGCTGAGGTGGGAGAGTTGCTTGGGCCCAGGAGTTTGAGACTACAGTGAGTCATGACTATGCCATTGCATGCCAGCCTGGGGGACAAATTGAGATCCTGTCTTAAAAATAAATAAATGAGGGCTGGGTATTGTGGCTCATGCCTGTAATCCCAGCACTTTGGGAGGCTGAGGTGGGTGGGTCACCTAAGATCAGGAGTTTGAGACCAGCCTGGCCAACGTGATGAAACCCTATCTCTACTAAAAATACAAAAATTAGCTGGGCATGGTGGTGGATTCCTGTAATCCCAGCTACCTGGGAGGCTGAGGCAGGAGAATCACTCAAACCCAGGAGGTAGAGGTTACAGTGAGCCAAGATCACACCACTGCACTCCAGCCTGTGAGACAGAGTGAGATTCTGTCTCAAAAAAAAATGAATAAATAAAATTAAATAAATACATTGAAAAGAAATATTTTAAAAAAAATTATTGGTGAATTTCCTATGTAGTAATGAATGAAAGCCAGAATGTACTGAGTAGGTGCTATGCTAGGCACTTCATATTTGTTACCTTTTTTCCCCCTGATACCAGGCTGGCTGCACATGCAGAGTTCTGCCCCATCCAAACATGTCTGAAACATCAGTTGGCACACCTCCCAAGAGCTCTATTGCATGAGGGAATGAGGTGCCTTCTGGGAGAGAACTCATTCTGAGAGACTGCGAAGCAGCAGCCACCAGCTTGAAAGGGAGCAAAGTTTCTCTCACTGGAGGGAAGAAAAAAGTTCAGAGTCTTTTAGAGTTGTCTGGGGGAACCGACAGAGATTGGAGCAGGGAAAGATCTGAATTGGAGGGGCATGTGGGGACAGCATTCACATTAAAACTTTGCTGTCTATTTGAAATAGGCTTCTAGTGTTTGGTCTGTTAATGAACTCAGCTGGGGCTTAAACTTTTCTGGGGGTGCTTTTTATAGAAGTAGGGAGGAGGAAATGACACTGGGCCAGAGTGTGCTACCTCTTGCTCGTTTGTTCCACTGTGGACAAGCTTGTTTATCTGCACTAAAGCTGTCTTTGAGCTGTCCAAACTCACTAAGTAGGGAAATTTATTGAGGCAGACAGATTACTTGTCTGCGAATGACTCATCTTGTGACCTTAGGAAAGCTTGTGATTACTCCACGTCTCAACACTTTCTGCGGGAGGCTGTCCCTTTGTGCCGTCATTCCCAGGATGGGCCTGAAGATTTTGATAATAATAAGGACCATTTCCACTGGCCACGTGCTTGACCTTTTCCAAAGTACAGCCACATCCCCTCTGATCCTTTTGGATTCTCACAGTGTAATATTGAACCCAACCTTTGGAACTGGGTTATCAGATGTTGTCATCAGTGTGTCTTCCAGGATTTTAAACTCTGCTGGCTTGCCTTGCTTTATAAGTATCATAGCCAATTGGAAATGGGTTGGATCTTCCTAGCAGAGACCAGGTCTTGAAGCCCATTGTATTCTCTGACCATTGCTCCACACTTCCAGAAAGAGGACTCGGGCTGCTCACAGGCTGGGATAGCTCCCTCACCGCTCACCTTCATTTTCTCTGGAGCTGCCCCAAGGACACAGGAAGTCAGGAAGTGTTTTGCTCAAGACCATGCTGGTCTCACCCTCACAGAGGATAACATCTTTAGTATCCCCACCTTCTTAATGCCCTCTCAGGTTTTCAGCAGGAAGGTCATGCTATGATTTATCTCTTTACCCTCAGGGTCAGTCTCATGTTATGAGATTGTGGAGGTCGGAGTACCTGGGCTTAAACACCTTGGCAACGGGAGGAGATGGATATGTTTGGTCTTCAAGCAAGCTTCATAAGCAAATTCTTCACCTTAGTCTCCTGTTGGCTGTCCTAGTAGCTCCTTGTGCTTGGAATAGTGTTAGGTGATATTCTCCCTCCAAAGGACCAATCTTCTAGGGCCTCCCTGGCCTTAGAATTCTGCCTGAGTGCAGGATTACTGGGCATTGCTTTATTGGCAGCCCTTTCTGGTGATTTCATCTGCAATTTATGAGCTAGAAAAAATGTCCTGCTTCTCTTCTCCCTGCCCCCAAATCACTCACTGCCTCTGCCCAAAGCCGGGTCTTCTGGGCTTTCTCCAACCATCACTCCATTCCACTTTATCTGATCATAGTAACTGATAGATGAGTGAGACTCAGCCAGAGCTAATGGATTCCATGAGATCATGAGTGAGTGGGTGACTCAGCTACTCTTCACTGAGACAATGGAGATCCAAGTTAGAAGAAATGGATTTTTTTCTGTTTCTTAAAATAGTTACTGAATTCCCCCTGGGTTTTAATTCCCTCCCAGCCCCAACTAACGGCTTCATGATTCCCCATTCAACATTAGAGTCTGTGGTCTCCAGGGCATGGCCTCACAGTGGGGCTTCACTCTATGTCTCAGCACTTTCTGCTTGTACCTTGTCTCCAGAGCACTCCAATTCAAATACCTTGGAACAGGAGCAAAAAAATTCCACCCCAGCCTCACAAGCGCTGATATTGGGGGCGTGCACCATGAGCTCAAGTTACTAGCAGAGTTATTATTGCATCTGCAACCTGACTCCAAGCCTGTAGCTGATGGGGAATGAATAGTTTCTTACATGAATTAAGCCTTGGCAACTAGAGTTATAGGGTTAAAGCCCTTTCATCTTCTTAAGAAGCCACTGAGCTCTTCCTGATAAGGGCAAGCCATAGATATTCAAGTTGTAGGATCTAAAGTTCGAAGGTCTTAAGGGACCTTCTTATCATCTCCTTCATCTTAAAATGAGGTCACTGAAACCCAGAGAGGCTGAACCAAGCCTTCTACCCTAACTTCAAGGCACCATTTATTACTCCAAGACACTTTTCTGCATATTACAAAACAAACATGCTTTGAATTAGGACTTTTATTTGACAACATTCTATGTGCCTGTCTCAATGTTAAGTGCTGGAGAAATGTTGCTTGGGGACCTCAAGTTGCCGACAGCCTATGCCAACAAGAATGATGTAGTGTATGAGGAAGGCCTTGCATTCTGATCCAGTCTTGGGCTTGTGAAATGACCAGCTCCCTATCCTGTGGAAATGCCTTTATAATGCCTTTCTCAGAAAAGCCCACAGAGCTGAGCAGACAGGGCCTCTGCTTTGGGCTCTGGGCCTCAGGCGACCCTACACTTTGGAGAGTCTTCCTTGAAATGTCTCAGGTATTCTTTTGGTGCTTGAGAAGGGCTTGGTCTGGCAGTGCCATCCAGGGGGGCTCTAGTCCCTGTTTCTCACCTTTGAGGTGTTCTCTAATCCCCTGTCACCTGGGTGGTGAACCAGATTCCTTCAGGAGGAGGAGCTCAGGAACTCATCCTGCGTGTGGGTTGTCCTGATTCAGGTGTGTTGGACTGGTGAGCAGATCTTTCCCATTGCTGGTTCTGTATTTATTCCTGAGGATGACATGCTGGACAGTGAGAAGGGTGCTTGATATGTTGATATTGGATGGATCAAATAAGTTACACAGACAGGCCTCCAAAAACAAAACAAGACAAACCTCCCTTGGTCCTTCATATCCTGGGGAGGCCTTACATGCACCACTTTCCCCTGATGACGGTCCTCTACAGAAATTGCATTTCCACCTTTATCTGCTGAAGCTTGTACAGCTCGTACCTCCCTATAGATTTCCCTCAGTTTTCCCTCTAGAGACTAGAGGCAGGCTCTAGGAACTTTCACTTGCCATAGAAGTTAATCTTCTTGCCCAGCCTGACTCAGTGAGGAGCTTATGCAAAGAAATTTGTATTTTCCTGTAAATCACACCTTCCTCACAACACTGTAACCACCTACAAATATGGAGGAAAGGGAGTTTGAGGAACTTGGGGGAGGTATGGAAAGACTCTTATCAGGAGGGACTCTTGTGGTTTCACCTTTTACTTTGAGGGAACTGATATTTCTTTTTTACTTTTCTTTTTTTTTTTTTTGAGATCAAGTCTCACTCCGTTGCCCAGGCTGGAGTGCAGTGGCCTGATCCTGGCTCGCTGCAACCTCCACCTCCTGGGTTCAAGCGATTGTCCTGCCTCAGCCTCCCAAGTAGCTGGGATTACAGGTGCCCACCATCATGCCCAGCTAATTTTTATATTTTTAGTAGAGATGGGGTTTCACCATGTTGGCCAGGCTGATCTTGAACTCCTGACCTCAGGCAGTCCGCCTACCTCAGCCTCCCAAAGTGCTGGGATTATAGGCGTGAACCGCCATGCCTGGCCCGGGAACTGATATTTCTAATAGAATTCTAAATTCTTCAGGGATGGATTCCACACTCAGGCACCATAAATTATAAAGCAGATGGGGGAAGAAAACACACTCTGGTTTTCCTGTGGGGTTGTGAGAGGGTGCAGTGTCTGGAGATGTGCTTGTTTAGCAGAGACAAGCCAACTCAGTTGGCTGGGAAGGAAAGGGTCAAAAGGAGGCCATCACACAAATGTGTAGCCATGGAAAGCTAGCTGCTTTTAAGAGTTTAGGCAGAGATTGTAGGATGAGGACAGATTGAAAGCTTTCTGCCTAAGTTCAATTATAGTGCTATTTTAATATTAGCTCTCTATGTGATCATTAGTCATCTTCAACAAAGCTAATGAGAAAAATGAGTAGAGAACAATAAATGGTTATTTAAAAGGAGTGAATTAGTAGAGATCAGGTCTGAGTTTCTTTCATATGGTGCATCATAGGTATTCAATAAATGCCAGTTGAATGAATGAACACTGTTGTTTTGGTTTGCCTGAGTTGTCCTCTTTTAACTATCCATTGATTCATTCAGCAGTATTGTGGGGCTTTTATTATTGTCAGAGATTTGTGGGCATTGAGTTGAAAAGACACAGTCCTTGCCCTCAAGGATTGTATTGATACATGCACACATTAGCATGTAAACAAATAAGATTAATGTGATCATGGGGGGGATATTTAAGAGGGAGGGTTTCAGTCTGCTCAGGAATTAGCAAGGAGGAACTCACTGAGAGGGCAGCTTTTGATTTGAAATAGGGAAGGAATTTCTGGATGTTAATTTTATAAGAGCACCACGTTCTAGGCAGAGGCAGAAGCAAGAGCAAAGACAAAAAAGCATGAAAACAATGAGTGATATGTATCAAGACAAAAAAATTCCTATTCCTTAACCCAATTTTTCTTTTCTTAAACTATGTCCTAAAAATTCACTTTGAAATGTGAACTAAGATTTATGTGCAAAAATATCAATCACAGTATTATTTATAATTGGAAATATTATAACCTGAAAAAGCTCAATAATAGGGAATGCTTGGTAAAAGTGATATGTTTCCATATCATATTATGAAGCAACACACAAAAATAGGTTAGGAACGATGTTTGTTGTGGGAAACAGCTTATGATAAAATATTGACTAGAAAAAGTAAGTCTCAAAGTTCAGAGTGATATAATCTACATTCCCAGCAGCATATGAATGTCCATTTAATTGAATCCTCACCAACAATAAATATTACCATTTTTCTAAATTTTTATTACTTTGATTTCTGAGATTGTTGTCTTGATCTCAATTGCATTTCTGTGATTATTGGATAGTTGAATATTTTTAAGAGTTTCTCTGTTTTTTATTTCCTCTTTGTGAATTACATATTCCCATTCTTCTGTTGTCTACTAAGATATTAGTGTTCTCACCTTAAAAAACAAACTAGAGATAAAATATATAAACCAATGTTGATGGACATTAGGCAACGAAGGGCAGTGATTCCTGAGAGATAAGCCCTTAAATTCCCCCAGCTCATTGTCTTAGAGAGTTTCTAGATTGCAGTGCAGGGACAATGAACTGACTTGCAGCCCAGCAGACTCCCTGAGTTAAAGAAACAGTTGGGAGACAGAGCTGAAGGCCTGGAGAAACCAAGGTGCATAGCATTTGTAGGACAGAGTCCTAGAAAGAAAGCTGCACAGAAGGAAAACTCTGGAGATCTTCAGGGATTACCCTCAGGTATTTAGCTGGATATGCAAGCGTACTTATAGGGAAATTAGCCAAAGCCAAGGAAAGACCACCTGCAGGAAATGGAGGGAACAATATCTGACACACACACAGGACTGGAAGTAGTACTTGGTTCTGAAAGACAGACTGGAAAACCTCATGACTCATGGGACATTGGATAAAGTACACAGGATTTTTCCTCAGTAGGGAGGAATAAAGTCATCCCTCGATATTCATAGAGGATAGGTTACAAGACCTCTTGTAGATACCAAAATCTGTGGAGGCCCAAGTCCTTCATATAAAATATTGCAATAGTCGCATATAACTTATGCACTTCCTCCTGTATACTTTTAAATCTTTAAATTACTTATAATACCTACAAATGTAAATGCTATGTAAATAAGTTGTTAGACTGTATTGTTTAGGGAATAATGACAAGGAAAAATCTGTTCATATTCAGCACAGATGCAATTTTTAAAAATATATTTAATCCACAGTTGGTTGAATCCATGTGTGTGGAACCCATGAATACAGAGCTGACTGTTGTTACCTCTAGACTGAGCGTTAGCTGTAGACCAGGGCTCTGGTCCTGCCAAACAAATATTAAAAGCAAAACCTTGAATCATAGAACTACTTCCAAGTAAATTAGCTGCATCCCAAGTCAAAGCCTCAGAATATTTATTGGAACACAAAAATATTCAGCACTAAGTGAGGTAAAATCACAATGTGTAGAATCCAAGAAGAAATTATCAGGCATGCAAAGGAACAAGAAAGCACTACCCATGAGGAGGAGATAATTTATTCAATCAAAACCAGAACTGAGATAGATGTTATAATTATTAGGCAAGAACATTAAAGAGCTATTCTAACTATATTTCACATGTTCAAAAATTAAGTAATGACACAGAAGATATAAGAAAAACCCAAATTGAACCTCTGGAGATGAAATCTACAGTGTGTAGGAGAAAAACACACTGGATTGAATTAAAGAAAATTAGATGTGGCAGAAGAGAAGATTAGTTTGAAAATACAGAAACAGAACATTTCCAAAATGAAACACACAGAGAAGAGATTTGAGAAGAAGAGAGCACTAGTGAACTATGGGACAACTTCAAGCAGCCCAGTACATATAATTTGAGCCACTGGGGAGAGGAGAAATAGGTAGGGACAGAAAAAAATATTTGAGGAAATAAAGGCTTAAATCTCTGAGATACAATAAAAATGATAGGGACACAGGAAACCATGTGCATAAGAAACATGAAAAAAACGACTTCAAGGAAAATCATAATTAAACTTCTCAAAACCAGCCAGGTGTGGTGGCTTATGCCTGTAATCCCAGCACTTTGGGAGGCTGAGTTGGGCAGATTGCCTGAGCTCAGGAGTTCGAGACCACCCTGGGCAACATGGTGAAACCCCCCTCTCTATTAAAAATACAAAAATTAGCTGGGCATGGTGGCTCATGCCTGTAATCCCAGCTACTCAGGAGGCTGAGGCAGGAGAATTGCTTGAACCAGGTGGATGAATGTTGCAGTGAGCCGAGATCACACCACTGCACTCCAGCCTGGGCGACTGAGCAAGACTCTGTCTCCACAAAAACAAAAACAAACAAAAAACTCAAAACCAATGACAAAAAAAAAAAAAATCTTCAAAGCACCCAGGAAAGGAAAAAAGATGCATTATGTACACAGAAACAAAAATAAGAATCTAACAGATTTCTTGTTGGAAACAATGCAAGTGAAAAAACAATGGTGCAGCATTTTTGAAGTATGGAATTCTGTACTCAGTGAAAATAGCTTTTAAAACTGCTGATGAAATAAAGACTTTTCGGACATACAAAAACTAAAAGACATCATCAACAGCAGACTCTCACGCCAAGAAATATTAAAAGAAAACTTTAGGCAGAAGGAAAATGATACGAGTGGAAAGATGTATCTATTCAAAAGACCAAGGAGCACTAGAAATGGTAACATGAGTAAATATATTTGATTTTAGATTATTATTTTAGTCTCTTTAAAAATAGCTAAGTATTTAAATAAAGGTAATCTCAATGTAGTCTGGAGTTTATATTTTTTGTAAAATTAAAATATATGACAACAAGAGCACAAAGATCAGGAAGAGAGAAATAAAAGTATTCTATTGTAAGTGTCTTATGTATTAAATGGTATATTAACAATTAAATGTAGACTATGATAATTTGAAAACGTACACTAAAGCAACCACTAAAACAGTTAAGAGTTACGGCTAATGAGTTGACAAGAAGGTAAATTGTTATAAAAACATTCAATTCATCCAAAAGAAGCCAGGAAAAGAGAAAAAGGTAGTTGAAGGACAGGTGTCACAAATAGACAAAAAATTAACAGGAATGTAGACTTAAACCTAACCATAACTCCTGAGTGGAGTTCCTCTCCACTCAGATGTCAATGTTGCATACTCTATGTAAGGGCAAATATATAATCATATTGATAAACAAGTTACTCAATTCTGCTGCATATAAGAACCACAATTCACAATTGCAAGAATATAGAACCAGCCCAAATGCCCACCAATCAACAAATGGATAAAGAAATTGTGGTATAAATATACCGTGGGATACCACTTAGCCATAAAAAGAAACAAAATAGTGGCATTCACAACAACCTAGATGAAATTGGTGACTATTATTCTAAGTGAAGTAACTCAAGAATAAAAAACCAAACATCTTATGTTCTCACTCGTAAGTGGGAGCCAAGCTGTGAGTGTGCAAAGTCATAAGAATGTTAAAATGGACTTTGGAGACTTGGGGAAAGGGTGGGAGGAGTGTAAGGGATAAAAGACTACGCATTGGGTACAGTGTGCAGTGCTCAGGTGATGGTGCACCAAAATCTCAGAAATCACCATTAAAGAACTTATTCATGTAATCATCACCTGTTCTCCAAAAACCTATTGAAATAAAAAAATTAAAATTGTGCTGCATATAAGAAACACACTTAAAATTTTTTATTGGTATATAGTAATTATACATGTTTATAGAGCACATGTGATATTTTGATACATTCACACAATGTGTAATGATAAAATCAGAGTGTTTAGGATATCCATCACCTTGGGCAGTTATCATTTCTTTGTGTTGGGAATATTTCAAATCTTCTAGTTATTTTGAAATAGATATCGTTGTTACCTATCATCACTTCACTATGCTATTGAACACTGGAATCTATTCCTTCTATCTAACTGTGTTTGTACCCACATTAACCGATTTCTCTTCTCCCTTCCCCACTCCCAGCCTCTGGTAACTATCATTCGACTTTCATCCCCATGAGATCAACTTTTTAGCTCAGACATGTGACTGAGAAAAATGTGAGTGGTAGTTGTCTGTGTCTCGCTTATTTCACTTAACATAATGACCTTCAGATCCATCCATGTTGCTGCAAATGACAGGATTTCATTCTTGTTTAATGGTGGACTAGTATTCCATTATGGATATAGACCACATTTAAAAAATCCATTTATCTGTTGATAAACACTTAGGTTGATTCCATATCTTGGCTCTTGCGAATAGTGCTGCAATAAACATGGGAAGCAGGTATCTCTTTAATATACTGATTTCCTTTCTTTTGGTTAAATATTCAATAGCGTGATTACTGGATTGCATGATAGTCCTATTTTTAGTTTTTTTTCAAAACCTGCATATTGTTTTCTATAATGGCTGTATAAATTTAGATTCTGACTAACAGGCTATACGAGTTCCCTTTTCTCCACATCCTTGCCAGCATCTGTTATTTTTTTGTCTTTTTGATAACAGCCATTCTAACTAAAGTAAGATGATATCTCATTGCGGTTTTGATTTGTGTTTTCTTGGTGATTCGTGATAGTGAGCATTTTTTCATATATCTGTTGGCCACCTGTATGTCTTCTTTTGAGAAATGTCTATTTAGATCCTTTGCCCACTTTATTATTATCATTTTCTCCATTTAAGCTGTTGGCATTCATCAATACTCTCAGATGTCTCTACCAACATAGGCTTCATCAGAAACCTTTGTCTACTTTTTAATGGAATTATATGTTTTCTTGCTATTGAATTGGGTTCCTTGTATATTCTGGTTATTAGTCCCCCGCCAGAGAGTTTGCAAATATTTTTTTTTTCATTCAGCAGGTTGTCTCTTCATTCTGCTGATTGTTTCCTTTTCTGTGCAGAAGCTTTTTCGTTTAATGTAGTCCCATTTGTCTGTTTGTGTTTTTGTTGCCTGTGCTTTTGAGATCTTAGCCATAAAATCTTTAACCAGACCAACCTTCTGAAGAATTTCTCCAGTGTTTTCTTCTAGTAGTTTCATAGTTTTGGGTTTTATATTTAAGTCTTTAATCCATTCTGTGTTGATTTTTGTATGTGCCGAGAGGTAGGGGTCTAGTTTCACTCTTCTGCATGTGGATATCCAGTTTTCCCATCATCATTTATTGAAGAGGGTGTCCTTTCCCCAAAGGATGTTGTTGGTGCTTTTTTCAAAAATCAATTGGCTACAAATAGGTGAATATCTTTCTGGGTTTTCTGTTCTGCTGTGCTGGTCTGTATGTCTGTTTCTATGATAGTACCATGCTGATTTGGTTGCTATAGCTTTGTATTATATTTTGAAGGCAGGTAGTGTAATGCCTCCAGCTTTGTTCATTTTGCTTAGGATTGCTTCGGCTATTTTGGGTGTTTTGTGGTTTCATATGAATTTTGGAGGTTTTTCTCTATTTCTGTGAAGGATGTCATTGGTATTTTGATGGGGGTTGCATTGAATCTGTAGATTGCTTTGGAGTAGTATAGTCTCAAGATTAATTTTAACAATATCAATTCTTTCAATCCATGAGCATGGGTGTCTTTCCATTTGTTTGTGTCCTTTTCAATTTCTTCATCAGTGTTTTGTAGTTTTCCTTCTAGAGGTCTTTCACCTATTGGTTAAATTTATTTCTAGGCATTTTGTTATTTTTTGTAGCTATTGTAAATGGGATTGCTTTTTTGATTTATTTTTCAGCTAGTTTCTTATTAGTGATAGAAATACTACTGATATTTGTTGATTTTGTATCCTGAGACTTTACTGAATTCAGTGATCAGTTCTAAGAGTTTTTTTGGTGTAGTCTTGGTTTTTCTAAATATAATAAGATCACGTTATATAAAAAGAGAGACAATTTGACTTTCTGTTTTCCAATTTAAGTGCCTTTTATTTCTTTCTCTTGCTAGAGATTGTTCCGGCTAGAACTGTCAGTACTATGTTGAGTATGAATAGTGATAGTGGGCATTGTTGTCTTGTTCCAGTTCTCAGAGGAAATTCTCTCAGCTTTTCTCCATTTATTATGATACTAGCTGGGTTTGTCACATGTGGCTTTTATTATGTTTCTTATGTTTTATTATGTTTCTTATGTTTTATTATGTTTCTTATGTTTTATTATGTTTCTACTATGCCTAATTTGTTAAGAGTTTTTTATCATGAAGGAATGTTCAATTTTATGAAATGCCTTTTCTACATCTTTTGGGAAGACTGTATGGTTTTTATCTTCCATTCTGTTTATATGATATGTCACAGTTATTGATTTGTATATGTTGAACCATCCTTGCACTCCTGGGTTAAATCCCCCTTGATCATGGTATATTATCTTTTTGATGTGTTGTTGGTTTGCTAGTATTTTGTTTGCTATATTTTGTTGAGGACTTTTGCATCTATGTTCATTAGGGATATTGATCTATAGGTTTCTTTTTTTGTTGTATCCTTGTTTCGTTTCAGTATTAGGGTAATGCTGGTTTTGTAGAATGAGTTAGGAAGAATTCCCTCCTCTTTAATTTTTTGGAGTAATTCTAGAAAAATTGGTGTTAGTACTTCCTTATAAGTTTGGTAGAATTCATCAGTAAAGTCATCTGGTCCTGAGTTTTTGTTCTTGTTGTTGTTGTTAGGGGACTTTTTATTACTCATTCAATCTTGTACTCATTATTATTCTGTTCAGATTTCCTATTTCTTCCTGGTTCAATCTTGGTAGATTGTATGTATCCAGGGATTCATCATTTTCCTCTAGGTTTTCTGATTTGCTAGCATATAGTTGTTCATAATAGCATCTAATTATTCTTTGTACTTCTGTGGTATCAGGAGTAATACCTCCTGTGTCATTTCTGACTTTATTTATTTGGGTCTTCTCTCTTTTTTGTTAGTCAGTTAGCAGTTTATTGATTTTATTTATTTTTTAAAAACTTCATTTCATTGATCCTTTGTATTTTTTTAGTCTCTATTTCATTTAGTTCTGCTCTGATCTTTATTATTCCTTTCTTTCTACTAATTTTGGGTTTGGTTTGTTCTTGCTTTTCTAGTTCCTTGAGGTGCATCACTAAATTGTTTATTTGAAATTTTCTACTTTTTTGACATAGTCACTTTTTTGCTATAAACTTCTCTTAGCACCACTTTTACTGTATTCCACAGATTTTGGTATGTTGTAATTTTACTTTCATTTATTTCAAGAATTTTTAAATTTCCTTCTCAGTGTCTTCCTTGACTCAATGGCCATTCAAGAGCATGTTGTTTAATTTCACGTATTTCCATATTTCCTTTTATTATTGAGTTCTAGTTTTATTCCACTGTGATCTGAAAAGATACTTGATAGGATTTTGATGCTTAAAATTTACTGAGATTAATTTTGTGGCCTAACATATGGTCTGTCCTGGGGAATGTTCCATGTGCTGATGAGAGGAATGTGTATTCTGTAGCTGTTTGGTGAAATGTTCTGTAAATGTTAGGTCTACGTGTTCTCAGGTGCAGTCTAAATCCAATGTTTTTTTGCTGATTTTCTGTCTAGATTATCTGTCCAATGCTGAAAGTGAGGTGTTGAATTCCCCAACTATTATTGAATTGGAGTCTATCTCTCCAGTAAGGTCATTGGTGGGTAGAGCAGGTTAATCTCCAAGTTCCCTGATTGTGCTAGCATGGGGAATGATGCCAGGTGAGGCAGAACTGTCCTGAAGCCTGCTGATGGTGCACATAAGCACCCAAACTGGCAAGCATTATTGATGTGTAGGTCCCTAGATGGTGTGGTCATGGTGGTGGCAGTGGTGAGGACAGGCTTGTCTTCAGGCCCCAGGAAGGCTCCCAGACAGACCAGACTCCAAGCCTGCTGAAAGCACATGCATGTGCAGAGTGTCTGTGTCTGGGGATGCAAGGTTGCTGTCAGTGGCAGCAGCCCCAGTCAGGTGGCTCTCAGGTTCCGGGGAGTGCATGCTTCAGCTCCCTTTGTCCTGGAGAAAGCTTCCCTGGTGCACTGCACTGCCATTCACTAGGGTGTAGAACACCGCGTGGGCTAGAGTGCTGGGGACCTGGCTGCAATGCTGGGTCCAGCCAGCCTACTTGGTGGACATGAGGAAATATCAGTGGGGCTCCATGGATGTGGAAATTCAGGGGCTGTTGGGCCCCAGGGCAGGATATCATCTGGTGGGGCCTGGGCTCTTAAAATGGCTGTGTGCTGCAGCTGCTTGGGTCTGGGGAGTGTGTGGGATCCAGCCTAAACTACATCTCTGGAACAATGTCATGGTATGAACTCTAGGCAGCTTCATATACTAGTTTCAGGGCCCATGAGGGCTGAGGGGCTCTCCTGTGGCTAGGATTGCAGGAGTCTGTGGGAATGTGGAGTCCTGGGGATCCTTTGCTCACCTTTTCCCTGCATTATGGAGTTTCTTCTGACACAGAGCTGTTCTTAATCCTGGCCAGGCTAGATGCTTAGCTTCCCTCTCCTTCCATGCCTCAGAGATTCCCTGGGTGCCTCCAGGTAGCCATCTTGAAGTCTCTCCACTCAGAGCTGTGTATAAACACATTTTAAATATAAAGACTTGAGTGGGTTAAAAGTAAAAGGATGAAAAAGATATACCAAGCTAATGATAATCAAAAGAAAGCTAGGAAGCTTTTTCTAATATCAAATAAAGTAGCTTTCAGAGCATAGCATATTGCCAGGTATAAAAAGGTAATTCCGTAATAGTAAAGGGTCAGTTTATTAGGAACAAACAAAAGTCCTAAATGTTTACCTAATAACAGAGCTTCAAAATAATTGACGTAAAAACTGATAGAACTGCAAGGAAAAATAGATAGATCCATGACTTTAGTTGGAGATTTTAATAACCCTTTCTGAATAATTGATAGAATAAGTAGAGAGAAAATCAGTAAGAATATAGATGATTTAAATAACACTATCAATGAATGTGGCTTAACTGATATTCATAGGATACTTTACCCACCTACAGCAGACTATACATTCTTTTCAACTGCAATGGAATTTTTACAAAGATAGATAATATTATGAACCATAAAGCCAGTCACAATGAATTTATAAGAATTCAAATGATATTGAGTATGTTCTATGACCACAAGGAAATTAAATTATCAACAACAGAAAGGTTTCTGTAAGAGTCCCCAAAATTTGAAAATTAAATAATGTACTTCTAAAGGAACTATAGGTCAAAGAAGAAATCAAAAGTGAAACTAGAAAGTATCTTGAACTGAATGAAATGAGTATAGCATATTAAAATCTCTGGGATGCCACATTCTTGGGGGAAATTTATAGACCAGTAGGCACATATCAGAAAAGAAGAAAGATGGAATCTCTAATCAACAACCTCAGCTTCCACCATAAGAAAGGATAAAAAGAAGACTGAAATATAAAGTAAGTAAAATGAAGGAAATAAGAAAAATCAGAATAGAAATAAATAAAATTACAAATAGAAAAACAATAAGCAATTCAATCAAAAGTTGGTTCTTTGAGATCAATAAAATTGATAAAACTTCATTCCAGGCTGGGCATGGTGGTTCACACCTGTAATCCCAGCACTTTGGGAGGCCAAGGTGGGCAGATCACGAGGTCAGCAGATCAAGACCATCCTGGCCAACGTGATGTAACCCTGTCTCTACTAAAAATACAAAAATTTAGTTGGGTGTGGTGGCACCTGCCCGTAATCCCAGCTACGTGGGAGGCTGAGGCAGGAGAATCCCTTGAACCAGGGAGTTGGAGGTTGCAGTGAGCCAAGGTCACACCACTGCACTCCAGCCCGATGACAGAGCGAGACTCTGCCAAAACAAAACAAACAAACAAACAAAAAATCCAATCCAGACTGATAAGAAAAAGAGAGAAGACACAAATGACCAGTATCAGAAATGAGAGGCGAAATTCCTACAATTTCTGTAGATATGCAAAGGATAACAAGGAAATACTACGAACAACTTTGTGCCAATAAATTGGACAACTTAGATGAAATGGAAAAATTTCTTGAGAGACATAACTATCAAAGCTCACCCAAGAAGAAAAAGATAACCTATATAGCCCTATATTTGGTAATTGAATTGAATGTATGGTTAAATTATCCCCACAAAGAAAAGTCTAGGTTTAGATAAGTTCCCTGGCGAATTCTACCAAACATTTAAAAATAAATAATAAAAATTCTGTACAAACTCTTGGAGAAAATTTAAGAAGAGACAATATTTTCTAACTTATTCAATGAAGCCAGCGTTACCCTGATACCAAAAGCAGGCAAAGACTTTACAAAGAAGGAAAACTTCCAACCAATATCTCTCTTTTTTAAAATATTCATACAATGGAATTTTATTCAGCCATAGAAAGGAATGACATTCTGACACATGCTACAACATGAGTAAACTTTGCAAACATCCCTGACTGACGAGGGGCTCCTGGGCTCTCAATGCAATAGAAATTGACATGGGGCCAAAGGCTTTTCCCAGACAAAGCATGCGAAGGGTAGAGGATATAGGTTAGCATCATCTGGTTGTGATGATTATCTTGAGTAATGGGCCACCTGGTGGTCTGGCCAGCAGCAACAAGGCTGTAAATCAATTAATTATTCAGCATTCCCTCCCAAGATGGGGCACTCTGCAATCTTGATTCCTTATTTTGGATCTCCTAAGGCCAGTTCCTGGAATTGTTTAAGTAAAAGACATGGTTAAGCATTATGAGAGCACAGAAGAACAATATAGAAAGGCCATTTTCTTTGTATGACTAAAGCCTCGAGGTTAGCAGGTATGGTGTTGACACCAATATCTTTTAAGAACAGAGATGCAAATATTCTTAACCCAATTTTAGTAAATTGTTATCGACAATATATACAAGATCAAGATCAAGTGATATTTGTTGCAAGAATGCAAGACTAGTTTAACACGTGTAGAAATCATTATATATGATTGATTATATAAAAAATTAAGAAAACCCGACAATATATGATTATCTCCATGGACCCAGAAAAAACATTTGACAAGATCTACCATTTCCCAATAAAAAGCGCAATACATTAGAAATAGAAGGGAACTTTCTCAATAAATCACATCTATGAAAACTGTTAAGCCACATCATACTTCATGGTTAAAAGACTGAATGCTTCCCCAGTAAGATCAGAAAAAAAACTAGACTGTCTACTGTCATTAAATCTATTTAACATTATACTGGCGATTCTAGTCAGTGAAATAAGGCAAGGAAAAGAACTAAAAGACATCCATCTGGGTAAAGAAGATGTAAAACTATTTGCAGATGATTATCTTTGTAGAAATTCCAACGGAATCTATACACAAAAAATTACAAGAACTAATAAGTGAGTTTACCAAGGTTCCAGGATGCAAGATCAACATACAAAAAATTTATATTTCTACATAGTGCAACAAATTATTGGAAATACATCACTGAAAATTTTTAATAATATAGTTTACAATAGCAATGTAAATGTAAAAACTTAGGGATAAATCTGCCAAAAGATGTAAAAGACCTGTACACTGCAAGCTACAAAACAATGTTGAAACAAATGAAAGAAGACATAAATAGAGAGATAACTAGAGGTAATGGTTCAGAAGACTTAATATTGGCAAAATGTCAATTTTCCTTAAATTGATCTATAGATTCGTTGCACTCCCAGTGAAAATTGTGAAGGCTTTCTGTATGTTGTGGAAACTGATACATTGATTATAAAATTCATATGGAAAGACCAAGGACCTAGAATAGCCAAAGCAAATTTGAAAAAAAAGAACAAAATTGGAGGACAAAGAATACTTTAAGATTTATCATAAAGCTACAGTATGGAAGATAGTGGGGTATCAGTGTCAAGATAGATTAATGGAACAGTATAGACACTTCAAAAATAAACCCATGCATGAACAATTAATTTTTGGCACAGGCAAATTTCACGGAGGAATAATAGTATGTTCAATAAATGGTGCTGGAAAATCTGGATATTCATGTGCAAATGATAGATTTCAGCTTATACTTTACAACATAAACAAAGATGAATATAAAATGGACCATAGACTTAAATGTGCAACCTACAGCTATAACATTTCTGGAAGAAAACACAGAGGAAAACCTTTGTGATCTTCAGCTAGGCAAAAATTATTTATATAACAGCAGTGAAAACACAATTTATAAACAATTGATAAACTGTACTTTATCAATATTAAAAACTTCTGTAGCTCAAAAGGCATTATTAAAAGAATGAAGACACAGGCTACACACTGGGAGACAATATTTGCCAATCATGTACCTTGTAAAAAAGTTTTATTCTGTATATACAAAGAACAGTTAAAATTAAATAATAAAAAAGAACAATCCAATTAAAAATGGACAAAAGATTTGAACAGATATGTCACTAGAGAAGATATACAGATAGCAAATATGCACATAAAATATGCTCAACATCAGAATTAATTAGGGAAATTCATATTAAAACTGTAATATGATACTACTACTTACTTTTAGAATGGTTAGAAATTAAAAGACTGACCATCACAAGAATTGGCAAAGAAGAACACCAACACTCACACTTTGCTGGTGGGAATGGAGAAATGGTGCAACCACTTTGGAAAACAGTCTGGCAGTTTCTTAAATATTAAACACACACCTATCATATTGTTCACACACTCCTCTTCTGGGTATTCATTTACACAATAGAAATGAAAGCATATATCCTTACAAAGACTCATTTACAAATTTTCATTGCTTCATTATTTATTTGTAATAGCCGAAAGCTGGAAACAATCCTTACATGTATCAAGTGGTGAATAAACTGTAATGTTTTCATACAATAGAATATTGTTCAACAATACAAAGAGAAAATTATTGATATATGCTGCAACATGAATAAATCTCAAAATAATTATGCTGAATGAAAGATGCCAGATTAAAAAGTATATACTGTATTATACCATTGTATTAAATTCCAGAAAATGTAAAATAAACTATGGTGAGAAAAGGAAGATGAATGGCTGTCTGGAGATGGGGGTTGGAGGTACATATGGAGTAGGAGGGAGGGATTATAAAGAAGAATGAGGAAAATTTGAGGAGGATATTGATATTCATTATCTAGATTGTGGTGATGTTTCAAAGGTACATACATGAAATCTCATCAAGTTATACATTTTAAATGTGTATAACTTATTGCATGCCAATAATAAGTCAATACATCAGTCAAAAAACTAAAAAAGTTCACTTTATATTAAGGAATATGCATAGTAAAATCTTTAAAGAAGGATACCAATAACTAGTTATTTTGAATGGTGGGGGGTAAATGATTTATTTTTTGTATAACATTAGAAATTACTTTTATAATTATTAAAATTAAATGAAAATAATTTCAGTACTATCTAGTCGAAAATATATTCTTTTTGATTGTGTGGCTACAGGCAAATGCATTATAACTAACAACACCATCATCAATAATTAGATCATGCATTCATTCATTCAAAAAGGAATTGAGGGGAGTTTTGACAGATGAACTAGATTTAACTCATCAGTGTTGGGGATGGAAAGGAAGTGAATAAAATAGAGAAGGGTTTTTTGAGCATAGAATGAGAGCATTAGCAAATGCACAAAGCAAGAAATGGACTGGTTTCGGTGGGACAAATAATTGGTTGGATATTAATATAAGGTAACATTTGAGACGAGTGGTAATGGGAGAGAAAGGCATAAACCAATTCAAGGTCTTGCCTCTATATCTTGTCCACTTTTGTTCTCCCTTGTTTCCTTTTTTTCTCTCTGCTCCTCTTCCTCCCTTCCTCTCTTCTTCCCTTTCTCTTCTCTCCCTTTGTCATCTTAGGTTTTTTGCATGCTAGGGAAATTCCTTGTGTTTGTTTACAACCTGAATAATTCAATTTTCTGCTACATCCTATCTGCTGTTTACTGTCTCCCACAAAGTATCTAACTATATATTTCTCTCTCTCTCTATATTCAGTTCTTTATATTCTTAGATTTATGGTCTCATGACAGCTTTGGTCTAGTGTTATAGACCCAAATGGCCCCTAGAATATTCTCGAGAATGCAAATCAAGTACTTCCAAATTAATTTCCTTTTTCTAAATTACATTTACTCTCTTTCACAAGAAGTTACCCCTTGAATATTCAGGAAATTGATTACCTCCTTTTTTTGAACTAAAGAATAGTTTTCTTTGCTATTTCAGCATTGCAGAAGCAGAGCTGTTCTCTCAGTATTAGTTTTATTTAATAAGTCACATTGGATTATGCTGGAGTTTGATATAGATCTCTCCTCAAATATTTTATAGGAGGATCTCTAAGATCAGAATAAAAGAAGCAAAAGGAAACCCTAGTAGTACAATTTTAGCAGTTTACATGTGGCGTTTGCAGTTTACAGTTTCCTTGGAGAAGTAGTGTAGTGGAACAGGTCTATACCCATAGCAAGAGATGTTGTTATTTTATTTCAGTATCACTAATATGATGCTCCCCATTATGGCTAATTCTCATGTGTGTGTGTGATTAAGAGCAAACTTTGAGAAGTTCTCATATGCAGGTTTACTAAGGAGGAAGGTAATCAAACTCATGCTTATCCAAAAGATTCTTACGTGGTTTTGACCTTGAGTTCTTGTTTCTCTGGGATAGGGGATTTCTCCAGTGTTTACTGGTGCCTCTGTCCGATCTCTGGCTATCAGAGAGTTCTAAATATTTTACTTTGGCATATTCCATTCCTGTTTCTCAGAACTGCTAAAATTTTTGCAGTTTGAATATTTTTATGAGACTTTCTAAAGGGTAAATAACACAATTTTTGACTCTATGACATATCAGTAAGTTTTTTAATTCCATAGAATCTTTAAATGCCTTATGCAAATGAAAAAGTAAAAGGTATTCAATCCAATACCCTCACTTTATAAACAGGGATAATGAGTCCAAAATAGATGATTTCCTATAATTTACACAAGTAAATAGTGGGTAGAAAAGCTCAGAGAAGACTCCAGGTCTCCTGATGTCCTATGCATATGTATTTTCACCACACCATGCTGTAGCATGATGAGTTTTTTCCTCAAATTTAAAAACAGAAATGACTAAATGACTAGAATAAATAAATAAAACATGAGCAGTGGACAGTTTTACTGGAGCCCAAGGGCTCTAAAGAGGAAAGAGCCAGCCTCAGACCTCTGTTTCCTTGAACTAATTTGTTTTTGAAAATGGTCCACCCTAATCATAGTAATCCTCATCACACATAATAAAATCACATTTTATGTGGTGTTTCAGGCCAAATGAATCCCCCAAAAATGCTTTTCAGAGCTAATACCAAAGTCCCTCAATCAGATGATGCCGTTACGAAATTAAATAATTAAACTACAGAACTAAAATATAAAAGGGTAAGAGGGAACGTGGAAAATGATCATTCTGAAACAAGATCAAGAGTCAATGAGGCAGAGAAACATGAGTCAGATCCAGATGGCAGCCACCCACTAATCCTCAGCACACTCGTGCCTGCCTGTCATCTCTTGGTAGCCGTGGGTGTTACAGCTCCAGTTTGCCACAGCCACAAGCTGGTGTACACATTCCTTAAGACAGAAAGAGATAAAGTGTTATAATGTCTTATTGATAGAGATGTGATTTCCAAGAAATGCAAAGAAAATTGCTTTTAAAAAATTTAATTTGCTGATTTTTCTCTCCATTGTTGGGAGAACCCAAATATTGACTTCTTAAATTTTGTTTGTAGTGGAGACAAATGTTCATTCCAAGTAGCATCCTAGTAGTAGTCTTTTTCTCATTAGGGTTGCAGTGAAGGCTGAAATGAGTTCATTGAGTAATTAGTCATAAGGTCCATAGTAATTCTGTCTGTTAAAGCAGAAGTATAAGAGTGTATATTGGAGGGCAATTGTTAAAAGGCTTTTGATTTTCCATGGACTTTTATACACGATCTATTCCTTATTTCTTTTTTCTTTCTTTTTTTTTTTTTTTGTCTCAAGAGGGCAAACAGCTTAAAAATGGAGTCTTAAAATCATTTCCTGAATTTGAATGTTGGCCTGCCTGGCTAGGTTGGGGAAGTTCTCCTGGATAACATCCTGCAGAGTGTTTTCCAACTTGGTTCCATTCTCCCCGTCACTTTCAGGTACACAAATCAAACGTAGATTTGGTCTTTTCACATAGTCCCATATTTCTTGGAGGCTTTGTTCATTTCTTTTACTCCTTTTTCTCTAACCTTGAAAATGGCCATACTGCCCAAGGTAATTTATAGATTCAATGCCATCCTCATCAAGCTACCAATGACTTTCTTCACAGAATTGGAAAAAACTACTTTAAAGTTCATATGGAACCAAAAAAGAGCCCGCATTGCCAAGACAATCCTAAGCCAAAAGAACAGAACTGGAGGCATCAAGCTACCTGACTTGAAACTATACTACAAGGCTACAGCCAAAATTGACAAATGGGATCTAATTAAAGAGCTTCTGCACAGCAAAAGAAACTACCATCAGAGTGAACAGGCAACCTACAGAATGGGAGAAAATGTTTGCAGTCTACTCATCTGAAAGGGCTAATATCCACCATCACAAAGAACTCAAACAAATTTACAAGAAAAAAACAACCCCATCAAAAAGTGGGCGAAGGATATGAACAGACACTTCTCAAAAGAAGACATTTATGCAGCCAACAGACACATGAAAAAATGCTCATCATCACTGGCCATCAGAGAAATACAAATCAAAACCACAATGAGATACCATCTCACACCAGTTAGAATGGCGATCATTAAAAAGTCAGGGAACAACAGGTGCTGGAGAGGATGTGGCAAAATAAGAACACTCTTACACTGTTGGTGGCACTGTAAACTAGTTCAACCATTGTGGAAGATAGTGTGGTGATTCCTCAAGGATCTAGAACTAGAAATACCATTTGACCCAGCCATCCCATTACTGGATATATACCCAAAGGATTATAAATCATGCTGCTATAAAGACACATGCACACGTATGTTTATTGCGGCACTATTCACAATAGCAAAGACTTGGAACCAACCCAAATGTCCATCAATGATAGACTGGATTAAGAAAACGTGGGACATATATACCACGGAATACTATGCAGCCATAAAAAAGGATGACTTCATGTCCTTTGTAAGGACATGGATGAAGCTGGAAACCATCATTCTCAGCAAACTATCTCAAGGACAAAAAACCAAACACTGCATGTTCCCGCTCATAGGTGGGAATTGAACAATGAGAACACTTGGACACACGAAGGGGAACATCACACACTGGGGCCTGTCGTGGGGTGGGGGGCTGGGGGAGGGATAGCATTAGGAGATATACCTAATGTAAATGACGAGTTAATGGGTGCAGCACACCAACATGGCACATGTATACATATGTAACTAACCTGCACGTTGTGCACATGTACCCTGGAACTTAGAGTATAATTTAAAAAAATCGTTTCCAGTTTCTTAAAAAGGGGATTCTAAAATAAAAATTTTTTTTCTCTCTCAAGTTCAGCTTTTGTTTTTGAAAATTACCTTTTAAGTAGTTCCTATAGGGTGGGATTTCATCACTAGATCTGGTTTATGGGTGTCCAAAACTTGAACAATTGAATTCATTCAAATCTTTGGGAGAAGGTGTATTTGCTGTCCCCCAAAATGGGTTTGAAAATATCACGCGTTCTGTTCTTACTTTTAAGTGAGAGCTGAATGATGAGAACACATGGACACATTGCGGGGAACAACAGGCGCTGGGACTTGCAGGGGGCGGGGCATGGGGAGGGAGGGTATCAGGATAAATAGCTAATGTATGCTGGACTTAATACCTAGGTGATGGGTTGATCTGTGCAGCACAGGTTTACCTGTGTAACAAACCTGCATATCTTGCACATGTATCCCGGAACTTAAAATAAAAGTTGAAGAAATCAAAAAGAGAAAATGTTATGCATTCCAACACAAGTCTCTGGACCTCACGTCCTGATCAGTAAACGTGAACAATGGAGAAATCAATGTCAGTGTAAAGATTGTTTGTTCTTTTGTGCTATGGATGCTCCAGGCCTTTCAAGCCACCATTTCAAGTGTAGTGTTAAACGTGAGGGCAAACCTGCTGCAGGCCTGTCAAAATGCTTGCTATGGGAGTGCTGTTTTATTCTCGAGAGCCAGGCTGACACGGAGCCCTCTGGCTGCCACAAAGGCCTCTTGTTGGTAAATCTCACAGAGGGTATCATTACTTTCAAGAATTTGATCCATCGATATCAATAAAAATGGAGCATCAGTTAGCAACCCCAAATGTGTCAGCTCTTTTTATGTACATTCTCTTATTTAATTTTCACATCACTGTGAAGTTGGCTTTTATGCTGCTGTTTTACAAATGAGGAAACAGAGCCTGAGAGAAATTTGGTAACATGCACAAGGTCATACCAGAAATGAAGTTCAAGACAAAATGTGACTCTAAATTCCACACTCTCTTCATTATACAACACACACTGGTTTTTCAAGTCATCCAGCCCCAGGCTATGCTTATTTCCATTAATAATTTGAGGACATTAGTCTATTATTTATACTAACGTTATAGCAAACAAAGTTAAAGCATTTGTAACTGCTTCTTCGTTTTTGTGTTTAAGCAAAAACATCCAAACTATGCTGCAAACGCACACATTGGAATGAAAACCAACACACACCCCCATCCACAAATCAGTTAACAAGATTGTACATAGTATCAGCAATTAAAAAAGGATATGGGAGAAGGAAAGACATTGCTTTACATTGTTACAGGCTGATTTCTTTACGAGGTTTTTTAAAGCGGAAGATCCCTGCTTCCTTTTTCAAATGAATTCTAATGAAATTCCAAAATACAACACAGATAAGAGCCGCCTTGTTGGAAGCTATAGTTAAAACTTCAGAGTTCTGACTTGAAACTTCTCTGCCTCATCACCTTCTCTGGGATTCCAGGACTTGAAAGAAGATGTATTGAAAGCCCCTCAAACTATTGAAAATAACATTAGGTCAGAAGCCATGGATTTGGGTTCAAGAGTGGGCTCCCTCTCTTTCATTGACCCTAAGCAACTTTCTTAATGCTGCTGAGCCTCAATTTTTACACCTTAAAAACAGGTATAATAGTGCTTGTCCTATGGAGCTGTGGTGAGATTGAAGTGGTATGATGCATATCAGGGCCCAGAACAATGGATTGAATTTAACAAGTTTTAATAATGAATACTATCCTTCATCCCTCAAGAGGCCTTCTCTAAACTGTCCAGATGATATACAGGTCACATGTGACTATGACTTTCACTGCTCAACCAATGCACTATCCCAAGGTGTAGCAAATCCTGTCCTTTGGTTGGCAAATATAGCTATCTGTATTGACATTTGAAGTCAACATCTTCCCTAAGGCTTGCTCAAAACGCTGCTTCCTTTTACGTTGCTTTATTTCCCTGCAACCTCAGGCATTCAGGGTTGGAAATTAAGCAAAGCATCATCCACATGCATTTCTTCAAGGCATTTCTAATAGATACAGTACAGAAAGGCCCAGATTAGGAAAAGATACAAGTACTTCTAAGATAATTTAAAGTTTTTTCGTCTCTCAAATGATACCAATGCTTAATAGTAGCTACTGAATTAGCTTGGGCACATGGCATGAATGTGTACACAGTTATCATATTGTTTCTGTGAATCTTCTGTGAAACTGAGGAAGTTACATTTCCTGATTCAGAGGTTGTAATTAAAATACTGTATGGTTGACAAAAAGGGGAAATTTTAGTAACTGATCTGTTGGCCCCCCACACTATGGAGCTGATCCTGTCAGTTCTTGTTAATGATCATGCTTTCTTTAGTACTGAGTAATGTGTTAGGAATAAAAAGTTTCCCCCAGCTCTTAGATGTGAAAAAATGAGTTTGAAATCATCTTCTTTATTTCTGTAAAGATTTTAATGGAGCTATAGAAAACATAAAAAAAAAGACTGTTGATAATCTTGTCCAAATTCATATTAGACTTTGCTCATCTATCTACAGACTTGGCAGACGTAACTAATATAGATTTTAACAAATTCTATTCAGGCTATAAACTTTCTGCTAAAGGAAATAAAAAGATATTACCTGCTAAATGTCCTGCACATCTTGAACACAACAGTGCTGAAAAGGGGTGTGATTTGCTTACTTGTGGATCGAGGCTTTCATAATAAAAGTTCCTGGTCACTTTGAAGTTTCCTCAGAACATGCAGAAGCAATTAACAACATGTTTGACTTTATAAAAATGGGAAGTGATAGCTTCTTAGACATGTGCCTACAAGATGGTACATCTTGATATACTGTTGCTGGCCATAGAAAAGATTTTTAATCTTTGGCCTGCAGTAAACTATTTTCAAAGTGTGAGACAAGAAGAAATCTCTTGTAATTTGGAAATATGTTGAGGATGAGAATGGGGGAAAAAGAGTACTGTAAAACAGATTTATATGCTGTTTCTCTGAAGCTGTTTGATCTTTGAAGAGACATTAAGTATCCTAGAAAAGGATGAATTAACTGTACATGAATAGTTTTAAGTTGTGACAATTATATGGAAAAAAGCCTCAATTTTTGGAAATAAGACAGCTTCAGAATTGAGAAAATGTCAATGAAAAGGGCAACCAAATTAAACAGAACTTTCTCAATTTCCTTACTAAATTTGTAATTTATTTAGAGTGCAATGTTAATTTCACAAGTTTAGATGACTTCTGTGCTTTAAAACCATTTTCCCTGGGGTAGGTTAAACTTCGTGTTTTAAAACCATGTCCATTTTACATCTGGAGAACTTATGCACACATTTAAAGATGCAAAAGACCTGATGGACAGGCCCAAGCTGGTCTGTGGTAACAAGCCTGTAGACACAAAGTGGGTGGAGATTTGGGGATGAAAACTAATCCTACATATCTAAAAGCCTGCTGTTGCCAGTAAATAAAATATTAAGTATTCCATTGTTATAGTTTGATATTTGACCCCTCGAAATCTCATGTTGAAATCGGATCCCCAGTGTTGGAGGTGGGGCCTGGTAGGAGGCATTTAGATTATGGGGGTGGATCCCTCTTGAACATCTTGGTGCTCTGCTCATGGTAACGAGTTGGTTCTCATTCCATTAGTTCCCATGAGAGCTGGTTGTTAAAAAGAGCCTGGCACTTCCCTCCTCTCTCTCTCTTTCTCTTGCTGCTTCTCTCAGCATGGTGATCTCTGCACATTCTGGCTCCCCTTCACCTCTGCCATGAGAGGAAGCTTCTGGAAGCCCTCACCAGAAGCAGATGCCGGTGCTGTGCTTCTGCAGAACCATGAGCAAAATCAACCTCTTTTCTGTGTAAATTACCCAGTCTCACGTCTTCCTTTATAGCAACACACAAATAGGCTAAGATGTAGAAGCGCAAATGCTTTTGTAGAGAGCATGTATATCACCTTGACATTACCATGCTGGACTGACACCAGGTACCCATGTAACATAGGCTCAATGAGAGCAGAGCTGCAAGACAAAGTAATGTTACATTTGCTATATAGTTTTGCCTACATAAAAGAAGGATGTCCTAAAGGGTGCAGGCATTTGAAAGAAGTATCATTAGAGAAGTAAACAGAAAGATTATAATTTTCCTATGTCTCAAAGGACTAAAAGAAACTTGTTTTTCATTGCATAGTGGTAATAAGACATTTTTAATTAGTTCTATTTATGTTCTCTTTTTTAAAAGTATTATGCACCTTAAAAATACATATTAATATAGCATGATGAATATATAGCATCTCTTTAATATCCAAGAGAATTTAAAAAGATTTAAATAAATTGCTCTGTTAAAGAATAGAAAAAATTGATACAATTATCATTACATTTTTCTCACATATATTTGTTTATACCTACTATTAATTACTACTAACTACCACTTTTAGTCTTATTTTGTTGTTTAAATATTAGCATTTATATAATAGAAAGTAAATAGTAAGTAATAATATATGATTTCAAGTAAACATCTATTCTTCATATTTTATGTTAAAGTAATAAAATGTCTATAATTTTTTAAAAATTATTATTTTTGTCTGTTTGGTACAGCCGTGTCTTGGATTGACTTTCTAAAATGTTGGCAATTCTCCCTAGGTAAATGCATCATAACCAGCTCCAGGCCCACCTGGGTTCCCTCCTCCTCTTCCTATAGAATGCATAAAAGCAGATATAACTGACTCAGGCTGTGTAAAGACAAACATAACTTACAATACCCTTACCTCCAACCGAACATCTGAGGGGAAGCTAATAAGGTATCAAAGAACATGGACACAGACTAACAGATAATTTAACGACATTTATGTAGAATGAATAAAACACATAGAAAGGACTGTCCTAGTTAACATAGAAGGTAACAATGTAGGGGCAAAACCCCTCTAAAAGATATAAGCAAGACGGCGTACAAAAGACATGAATAATTTAAGCTGGGGAAAACATTACCCAAGAAACAAATGCAAATTTCCTACAACTGCTTTGCAGTGTAGAAGAATTTCAGGATATCATGAATTCAGTGACTCAAGATCCAAAGGGTAGGATGCCAAAACAACAGAATGAGCTGGTAAGAAAGATGCCTGAAGAAGACAGAAACTGAGAACACAGGCCGGGTGTGGTGGAACACGTCTGTAATCCCAGCACTTTGGGAGACTGAGGCGGGGGGATCACCTGAGGTCAGGAGTTTGAGTCCAGCCTGGCAACATGGTGAAACCCCCCCTCCCTACTAAAAATACAAAAAAAATTAGCTGGGTGTGGTGGCAGGCGCCTGTAATCCCAGCTACTTGGGAGGCTGAGGCAGGAGAATCACTTGAACCTGGGAGGCGGAGGTTGTGGTGAGCCAAGATTGCACCATTGCATTCCAGCCTGGGCGACAGGAGCAAAACTTTGTCTCAAAAAAAAAAAAAAAAAAAAAAGAGAGAGAGAGAAATTAAGAGCACAAATTCTCCTTTTAAATGAAATTAACAGAATAGAAGCAGAATAGATACAGCAAAAGAGTTAATTTGTGACAGAGAGAGCAAAGGCTTGTAATGATAGCCCTGAATGTAGAAGAAAAAGTCAAAGAGATTAATGCAACTAGAATGACAATAATTTATAAGAAGCCAGGGATGATGCTGTTATCAAGAACAACTGGTCTTTCTGAATAGAAAGAGAGAGAATGCCAACCGTTGTGAATGACAGAAAACTCTACCAGAGTGGCCTTAGAAATCCTGGGTCAGGCATCCTTCACTTGCCTCTGCTGTAAATTTTTCTGTTATTTTTAAAATTTATATATGTTGGGAAATCTTCCTCCATTATTACCTAATATTGAGGAAGTAATTTATTTTATTTATAATAACATATGAACACATGGGCTGCGTGCAGTAATCCTAGAGCTTTAGGAGGCCAAGGCAGGAAGATTGAGGCCAGGAGTATGAGACCAAGCCTGGGCAACATAGACCCTGTCTCTTAAAAAAAAAAAAACAAAAAAAACCAAAAAACACAAAAAACACAAAAATTAGCTAGGTGTAATGGCATGTGCCTGTAGTACCAGCTACTTAGGAGGCTGAGGTTGGAGGGTCGCTTGAGCCCAAGAGTTCCAGGCTCCAGGGAGTTGATTGTGCCACTGTACTCTGTCCTGGGTGGCAGATGGAGATCCTGTCTCTCCCACTCCTGCACGCCCCCAATACACACACACCCACACACATGCACGCATGCACGTGCACACACACACATGCACACACACACATATATAAAAATACATGTACATTTATAATTTATAAATTTATAATAAAATGCTTTTATAATTTTATATTAAAAATATAGATCATTTTAATACTGTATATATAATTTTTACATATAATG
Source organism: Homo sapiens (assembly GCF_000001405.40). Taxonomy (NCBI): domain Eukaryota; kingdom Metazoa; phylum Chordata; class Mammalia; order Primates; family Hominidae; genus Homo; species Homo sapiens. The sequence goes on from NC_000015.10 coordinate 86,192,299, forward strand.
GAGCATTTTATTATATATTTATATAAATATATTACAGATATTAATGTTTTCAATAATATATAGTGAAATATAAAGTTTATAAACTTATATAGTTTAAAACATGAATCCAATAATGCAATGTACATACATATGTGTATGTGCACATGTAAATTTTGTCTATCACATGGGCCATTCTAAAAAAAATGATAACCTGACTTGTATCGAGGCTGTGATTAAACAGATCTGGTCATACACTAAAGCTGTCTATGCACATTGAAAGCTATAAAAGTGTTTAACTCCTTTGACCCAGAAATTTCACTATTAAAATTCTTATTTAAAAATAAACATTTATATGCATGGGTATTTGTGACAACATTGTTTCTAATGCTAAAAGATTAGAAATAACTTAAAAATTGAACCATAGTGCCTGTTCATGAAGTAGGTAGTGGTATATATGAAAAATCAAATACTATTCAGTCATTAAAAATCAGATGTCAGGAAAAAATTTGGAATTCATAACACAATGCTGAAAATATAGGTGAAAAATGCAGATACAGGTTATAAAACTTTGTATAGTATGATCATGACTATATGGAAATATACACACATATATAATCTTATTTAGTGATCTGTCCATTATGCATCCATTCCATTTATTTCTATTGAAAGCACACATAAGCACCAAAAAGAGATTTTAATTTTGTACTTAATTTATTTCACATTTTTCAGTCAAAAATATTTTTAAATATTAAAAAAAGTATTTTTTAGAAAAATAAATATAACTGCAGAAATGATAGCACCTTAATTTATTAGTAAATGTGATCATACCAGATACTGTGATGGGTGTCAAAAGAATCTTTGGGAACCCTCTTCACCCCAGATGGGAACAGTTTCCTTGGTTCTGTTTGGAGATGTCACTGAGAGGAGGGTGAATTTGCCCCTTATTTTTGCCCAGCTTCCCCAAAGCATTATTTTTTCCAAGAAACGAAAGGACCAGATGAAATGCTAATGGACTTGATAGAGTACAGGCACAAAGATGGAGACCAAAGAATATGATTATGGAAATGGGAGCATGTGGTCTTTTGGGTGAAGAATTTTTCACTTCTTTGGAGACTGGAATGATGCAATAGAGCCCATTTATCCATTTTTCTAAATTAGAAGGTGGCAAACTGAAGGTGTCACTCTGGCCCACTTGTGTCTTTTTCTGATTTTGACCCCGCAGCCCACTTGAGATGAAACCACCTCTCCACTCTTTGTAGCTTTGGCTTAATGTCAGGCTTGGGGTGCTTGAGACTTGTACACAGGCACAGAGTGGGGGACTGCATCTGTGAGTCTCTCATTCAGGGCTCTGGAAAGCCTTGAGGAGAAGTGGTTGGACATTGGAACAAGGGATCGTGTTTCTTAATTCAGTGGAGAAGACCAGTGTGTAGAGAATGGTGTCTGAAGCATTCTCTCAAGGTGTCCCCTGGAGAAAGTCACTCCTTTAGTCAAATTTTGGAGGCTGTTCAAAACCTTTGAATTTTGGAATATTTTCTACGTTTATTCTAACCAACCTCTTGTCATAAACACAAGGCTGTTTGCATTAAACAATCACACTGATTGGAAATGACAGAGCCTCTCTGGCAAGCCCATCAGGCCAAGAGAGAGGCATAGCAGAGTATAACCGGGGTCAGTTTCTGAGTCCTGTCTCTGAAAATGAGACTGCCAGGCATGAGGCAGAATCTTTGTAGAGTCATACATTCTCCTGTGAGGAATTCTGTCCTGATACTTGCTCTTGACTTTGCCGTTTTTTAATTTCTTCCTTTCACTCGTACTCACATCCTGTTGGAACGACTCATTTTGTTCTCGTTCTGCTCTGGGATTTTCTTCGGAGTGCAAACCCAGAAGTACATCTGCACTTTCTCAGCGAACTCATCGTTTGGCTGGGCTGCTCTATAATTAGATTTTTCAAAAACCTCTCTCCTCGTATATCAATTATTCCACTCCCTTAATCATCTTCCTCAGTGTTTTGCGTGATCCTACTCATTTATCAAGATGTCTGGGTCTATGCTTAAGCATTTGCAAAGAAAGAGTGATGCCTGCTACTAGAGTACAGTGTCTATGTGGAGGGCGTCTTGGGATCTTTTCTCCCATGTCTGTTCTTTTGCTTTCCACTATCCTTGCTAGATCATAACATTACTTTCATTTTCCAATCCAGAATGCTGTTCCTTTTAATGTACTTCAGGATTTCCATGATGATGGTTTTAGAAGTAGAGCATTCTGGAAATTGATGCTCTCTGTGTTTGTGTGTCTGTGTACTGGGAGACCTAACTTCCTGAAGCATTCACCAGTTGTGTAACTTATTTTCCTACGATAACCTGGGTGATAGCCAACAGGCAAGATATATCATGAGATAAATTCCTGACCCCGTGTTGGGTAGTTAGTATAAGAGGGAAGATGGGCCAGTACTCAGGCACAGAACAGGTAACCCTCTGTTCCAACAGGAGTGCCAGAGTCTGAAAATTTACACTATGGTGATTTAATCATAGTCCCAACCTCATCAAACTAGACCTGAATAAGCTAGCAAGGTCTTAGGCAAAAGACATATGTAAGGAAAGATATATATTTCTACAATTTGTCATTTAGGTCTTACTGTAGAACTTGATACAAATATACTGTCTGACAAGTTCTCTTCCACCTGTAGACACTATTTTATGATGGGTATAAATTCATTCTTTTATTATAGTCACTAAGCATGAGTGATTTACTTCTTCAATTGATCTATGAGGGTTTTTAAATGCCTTATTCACTCATGTATTCACTTTTTCATCATGCATTTATTGAGAGCTTACTATAGGCTGGGTATTTTGTGGGTGCTGGGGAAGGACTGATGAGTAGAAAAAGATATGGTCTCTGTCCTGAGTTTTATAGATCTATAGGAAAGACAGATGTTAATCATAACATCCCACAAATCCTTGTAAAATCATGGCGATGATAACTCCTAGTTGAAGGGTACCTTGGTGAAGGGCATGTTGGGGGTGTTCTGACTGGCTGAATTTGCATATAGTCATCCTGGACTAAATTAGACACACACATACATGTGTGTCCTTGGCTGTAACTGTTCTGAAGGTGAGGTCATGTTGTAGTGTTTATTTTTCACAGGGTTTGGTAGTTTTTATTGCATTTAACACACAGTTAACATTATTTTGTTAATCAGATTCAGGGAATAAAAAGCTCCCCAAAGTAATTTTTCTATCAAAATAATGCCTAGAAAATAAAAAAGATTGGATATCTATTACAGCTTCTTAAAAGTCTGCAAATCATCTGGCTTGCTGGGATTCCCATGTCTTTAGATTAAAGTGAGATTTGACTCCAAATCTGGTGGGAAATCCAGCATCCTGTCACTCTCAGTGTTCACCAATAAATGTCCATATAGCATTTTTTATTGAGGACTTTTGGCAAAACGTGGTTTAAATGGCAACTAAACCACAGAGCAGGATAGCAAAAATATAGATACTGGCTATGCAAGATTTTAAAAGTCCCTCAAATATTTCCTCTCCTGGGGGATTTTTGCTTTTTTATTTATTTTTTTGTTTAACTCAAGGTTTGTCATTTGCCCATATTTCTAAGTCTATCCAAGCTCTGCCGTGGGGGCGTCTTTCAACAACTATTCTCTTTTGTTGAGGATCATAAGACTTACTGAGGAGAAAATAAAAAGATTTCGTGGTCAAATAAATTTGGGGAGCTTCAGTTCAAATGCCATAAGACATTTTTTAAAAACCATAGGATATCTGATTTTTAGCATACTAATATATGTTGTACATTTTTAAGAAAGTGATTTTTTAGTTTTTTTCAGAGATCTACTTTAAATATTTCAAATAAATTATATCATTTATGATGACTTTGGCCGCATGTAGCATGCATTCTGACTTAAATGATTTAAGCAGAAAGAAATCTTATTTCATGCAACTGAGTTCAGATGTAGGATGGACGTCAGGGTTGGTTGATTCAGTGGCTCAGTGATGGCATCACAGGCTTAGTTTTTTCCATCTTCGCCTCTGCCATACTCAGTGTTGATTGCATACCTAGTGGTAGAGGGAGTGTCCTGAAATCTACAATAGCAATATCCTTAAGAAGAGGAGTGGCCATTTGTTCCTAGAGCCCTTAGGTGTGAAGAAACTTGTCTCAGAATCCCCAAATGTACTGTTTCTCATGTATCTTTGGACAGAATTGGGTATTAGCCTTATTCCTACATCAATCAACAGCAAGGAGAAGGGGTGAGCTCTCCTTTAAGCACCTGGATACACATGGGGTGGGTAATACCTGCACAAAATTGGAGGGAGTTATGTGGGATTAAGTGTCAAGTAGATCACTAACAACGTTTTCTAAAGAAATACACTGCTATGGACTGAATTGTGTCCCACCAAGTACATATGTTGAAGCCCTAACCCCCAATGTTACTGTATTTTAAGATGGGGTCTTTAGGAGTAAAGTTAAGTGAGGTCATAAGGATGAAACCTTAATCCTATAGGACTGGTGGTCTTATAAGAAGAGAAAGAGATTTTCCTTTCTCTCTTTCCTCCTCTCCCTGCATATGCGAATGTGCACATGTGCGCGCGCGCGCACACACACACACACACACACACACACACACACACACACACACACACGAAAGGCCATATGAGGACATGCTGAGAAGGCAGCTAAACGCAAGCCAGGAAAAGAGAATTCACCAGAAACCAACCCTGCCAGACCTTCTAGCCTCTAGAACTGTGAAAAAACACATTTCTGTTGCTTAACCCACCCAGTCTCTGACATTTTATTATGGCAGCCTGAGCTGACAAATACAGATTTTGGTATTGAGAAGTGGGGTGCTGCTGTAACCTAAAAATGCAGAAGCAGCTTTGGAACTGGGTAATGGGTGGAGGCTGGAGGAGTTTTGAGGTGCATGCCAGAAAACGCCTAGGTTGCTGTGAAGGGACTGTTGGTTGAAATATGGACATTAAAGGCAATTCTGGTGAGGACTGAAAAAGGAAAGAGGAGAGACGCAGAGAAAGCCTCCACCTGCTTACAGAATAAGTGCAGCGCGATGGAAAGAACGTTGGTAGAAGTAAGGACATCAAAAGCCATTCTGGCAAGGAATTAGATGGAAATGAGAAACAAGTTATTGGAAACTGGAGGAAAAGCCATCGTTGTTATGAAGTGGCAAATAACTTGGGTGTTCTAGTGTTTTGTGGAAAGTAGAACTGGCAGGCACTAAAATTGGATAATTACCTGAGGCGATTTCTAAGCAAAATGTTGAAGATGTGGCTATGTTCTTCCTGAATGCTTAGAGAAAATTCTAGAGAAGAAAGAAATTGACAAAGGAATTGTTAAGCAAAAAGGAACTAGAGCTTGAAAATTTAGTAAATTCTCAGCCTATCCATGTTGCAAAAAGTGAGGAAGCATGTTCTAAAGAGAACACTAAGAGTATGGCTGGACTATTACTTGATAAAGAGATAATGAGATTATATGGGCAGAAAACAGCTTGGACTGAAGGGAATAGAGCAAAAGGAACTAAGTGAAGAAAGACTGTCAGATTCTTGGATGCTTCAGGACAGAACAACAGAGCTATTTCACTGAAAACATGAGCTATTCTTTAAAAAAAAAAAAGGAAAGACTCCAAAGATGATTCAGAGATGATCAAGGCTACCACTCACATCACAGCCCAGAGTATACAGGCCCAGGGTGCAAGGTTGGGTGAGGTCACTGCCTTGGTTTCAAGAGGCCAAGCTATCTCTTCCTGGAGTGTTGGGGCAGGATCTCTAACTGACAGAGTCATGGGGGTGACAGAGCATTGAACTAGAAAGGATTATGCTCCAGCCTTAAAATCTAACAGAATTTGCCTTGCTAGGTTTGGAACATGCTTGGGACTTGTCATCTCTTTCTTTGGTCTGATTTCTCACTTTTGGAATGGGAATGCCTGTCTTATACCTGTCCTAATATTGTATTTTCAATGCACATAAGTTTTCTGGTCTCATGAGCTCACAGCTATGGAGAAATTTGCCTGAGAATAGATTGTATTCTGAATACAATTGTATTCGACCGTACTTGACTTAGACAATAATTAGATGAGAATTTGGACTTGAGATTTTAGTGCTGATGCTAAAATGAGGTGAGACTTTTGAAGCTGTTGGGATGGAGTGGATGTACTTTGCAAGAGAGAAAGATATTAATTTCAAGGGGTCAGAGGCAGAATGCTAGAGCCTTAACTGAGTCCCCCTGAAATTCATATGTTGATGCCCTAATCCCCAATGTGATTGAATTTGGAGACAGAGTCTTTAGGAGGTAATTAGGATTAAATTAGATCATAAGGGTGAGATCTTAATCCTACAGGACTGATGGCCTCATGAGAAGAGGAAGATTTTCTCTCTCTCTCTCTCTCTTTCTGTGTGTGTGTATGTGTGCATGTGTTGAGGGAGGGCCATGTAAGAATATAGTGAGAAAGTGCTGTCTGCAAGCCAAGAAGGGCGCCCTTAGCAGAAACTGACCCTCCCAGGCCTTGATGTGGGACTTCCAGCCTCTAGACTGGTGGGAAAATAAATTTCTATTGCTTAAGCCACCTAGTCTTGATATTTTATTATTATTGCTGTAGAAGACTAATACCTATATCAATGTGATAAAAATTAAAGTAAAACAGAAGTTTCTAGAAAAAAATGAGATTCCTCTCTCTATGACAATTCTAGCCTTGAAGATTGCTGCTAAAAATAATTTGTGGTGTAGTTTTCTAGTCGCTTTAATACTTACCAAATGCACGCATATGTTTGTGTATGTATACATACATTAATCATTATACATACATGCTTTGTTTACTTTTTATTTTTTTAACATTGATATTTACTTACTGTTATACAAGTTGTGTATTACCATTTAACAAAATACATAGCCCTATCTCATTCTTTATAAAGGTTATATAGATAGATTGTGTAGATGTATTATAATTCTTTCAACCACTTCAGTATGGGAGAATGTTGCGTGAAGTGGTTTCCACACTTATCTGAACATGAAACATCTCATATTATATATATATCTCCAAAATATATAATTTTGGACCTGCTATTCTAGAACTTCAGGTTGTCTGTGTCTGTTTGTTGCCTTAAAAGAAGATGTAACTTCCTGAGGCTCTCAAGACATTTGGCCATTTGGCCATGGCAAAATGTAATTGGCTAATAGTTCTCAAAAGCCATGATAATATAGGGCACTAATGAATACCCATGTGCTGGATGGTCCCCGTCTGGTCCTCGTGCACCTGAAGTGCTAACTTCCCATTCTTTAGGGGACCAAGTACTTTGTTCTTTCATTTGTGACACTGAACTGTTACGGAAATTGTGACATTACTCAGCAGCTGACTTATTTCATCTTGGATGAACTCTCCTTCTAGCTACGTGGCTTGAATTGAGTAAATCTGACTAATGAATCAACAGGCAGGATTTTGGCAACATGAAAGATTCTGGCCTCCATAAAAGTTTTTAAAATTTGCGTAGTGTTTATAAGGAAAATTATTTCTCATAATTTATATTACTTGAATCTAATTTTATGTATCAACAAATACTCTGAAAGTGACAAAAAGTCACCTTAGTCAAGCCATTTAATCCCTAAAGCCATCCAATCCTATTAATGGGGTTGTGAAGATAAACATGGGTGATTCTAACATGCCTGTGAGTTTGCACAACTGTCCTGTTTGCAAGAGCCAAGGTATTCTTGTGTTTACCATTGGGGATTGAATTGATTTACAACATAAAGATTATTCTGAAAATCCAATTTCCATGCAAACGCTGTTAATTGTTATACACGTGTCTCAGTTTGTTGACTCAGTTGTTTGAAGGTCCAGAGCTGTATTTTGGAAGATTTGTCAATTTAATTTTTTAAAATTATGACAATTTAATTTTTCTTTTATTCATATTTAAAGCCTCATTTAGGCTTGGATTTATTTTAGGTGACAGCACATATACATAAAAAAAGAAAAAGAACCAGTGTCATTAAATTGATGGATCAGAGACTTAAAATTTTTTTAGTGAGCTTCCTTTCCTGATTTCAACAAATTATAAGAAAGAAGATCTTTCCCAAGTCCACTTAATCTTTAGCACCTCATTTATGCCATCTATGGCATTTTTCTGTACAACAGTGACTTACAAATTATCACAGATTTCAGATACTGGAAGCTGAGATGTTTCCCATGCTTTATTGTTTAAAGGTGTTTATTTTATAGCACTTTTTAGTTGCATTATATCCTACTCTAGAGTAATAGACCCCTACCCCCCCCCCCCTTTTTTTTTTGCTCCCATCATGGTGTTGTTTTAAGCAATCATGAATCCTTTTTCTTTTTCTTTTTTTTTTTGAGATGGAGTCTCGCTCTTGTCACCCAGGCTGGAGTGCAATGGCGCGATCTCGGCTCACTGCAACCTCTGCCTCCCAGGTTCAAGCAATTCTCCTGCTTCAGCCGCCTGAGTAACTGGGATTATAGGCACCTGCCACCACGCCCGGCTAATTGTTGTATTTCAGTAGAGATGAGGTTTCACCAGGTTGGCCAGGCTGGTCTCCAACTCCTGACCTCAGGTGATCCACTTGTCTCGGCCTCCGAAATTGTTAGGATTACAGGTGTGAGCCACTGTGCCTGGCGAGGAATCATGAATTCTTTAAATTGGAAAATAAAATTGTCTTCTTATTCAAACTCCTATCCAAATGTTTTCATACAGTAAAAGTACAAGGCATATAGTAATAGTATAATTACAATTATACTAATAATCATAAGTTTATTAAAGTATGTATTCAATGATACACATGCATAAATATGTATAATTATATATGATAAATAGTCTTGTCTATTATTACCATTATACTCTACTTGGTTAATATAATTTTAATAATGAATAGGAATAGTCCAGGCTACCAGTGTTTTAAAACGACTGTGTACTTATCTATAGATCAATCAAGACCTAGGAAAGATAATGGGAAGTTCTATGTAGGATATAATGACATTTTTCAAATCTTCTCCATCTCTGTACCCTTAAGAAGAAAAAGAAGTTTCTTGCAGTTTCATATTTAGGAAGGCAACCTTGGGTAGGATGTTGATTACAGATATCATTTGACTATCATTCTTGTCTTTTAATCTAGATATAGCAAGCACAGTGTCCTGAAGCCATGTCTGAGACATTTGAAGGCAGAGTAGGAGCTATCTTGAATAGAAAATGCCTTTCAGCCCACAGAGATGATGTTATCACAAAACACTGTGACTCAATGGGTTGACAGATCCTTTCCCTCTCAACACAGAGTCTATGATGTTGTTTTCACTGAGAAAGCTTAGTCAAGAGATTAGGTGATAGCAGCTAGCATTTACCTCTACCTCACCATGGTGCAAAACCTGGCAGCTGGAGGGAGGAGAGGGGAGCACAATGGAGCAGTGCAGCATTAAAGACTAATGTGCCCAATTCTCAGGACCCCTTGGGAATCTAGGGCATCCTTTTCATTGACAAAAATCATTTATGTGGAGCTTCAGTAACTGAATCTGTCATGTCAGCTACTTCAGTAGGCCGCACGGATTTAAATGGGTTAGAAGTTCCTTCTCTTTAAAGGGCCTTTATAGGCAACTCACACAAGGACAGATAGGTTTGGGCACATGTAGGGGGCGGTGCTGGCAGACAAAGAAGGCCAATTTGAGTTCATCCATTTAACCAATTAGGAAAGTTCAGCAACAAGTAAACCCTGTGTGGCCAGGCATGGGAGCGCATGCCTGTAATCCTGTAATCCCAGCACTTTGGGAGACCAAGTGGGTGGATCACTTGAGCTTAGGAGTTCGACACCAGCCTGGCCAACATGGTGAAACCCCATCTCTACTAAAAATACAAAAATTAGCAAGGCATGGTGGTGTGCGCCTGTAATCCCAGCTACTCTGGGGGCTGAGGCAGGAGAATCCCTTGAACCCAGGAGGGAGAGGTTGCAGTGAGCCAAGACTGTGCCACTACACTTCAGCCTGGGTGACAGAGTGAGACTCTGTCTGAAAAAACAAAACAAAAACAGGTAAACCTGTGTTAGGCACAGGAGGAAGGGGCTCTGTCATATGACCCTATTTTCTCACTTCTTCCTTTTGTCTATTTTTTTCTCTCTCAATTATTTGTAAGAATATCCTTGTGCTATAGAGATCAGAAGACCTGCACTGAAAAAGTTAATCTTCTTAAGTCTCAGTTTCTTCATAGTAAAATGAGACAGCCTCAGATTTGTTGTAAAAACAATTGAAATGAGTGAATAAGGACCTTGACATTGCACCTGCCACATTGCAAGTACTCAGTGGATTCCACTGACTAACAATGCTTTGTCAAACAGGGCAGAAGCTTTCATTATGTTGGGGGTAATGTTTTATAATCCTTAAAATACCAAAGTTTCAATATTTTTATTTCCTATAATATTTCTGAGAATCCAGAAAGGAGCTGGGTCACCATACTGGAAAAATTGCCCTCCATCTCACCCATATGAAACTTGTGGAAATTTTTGATTCAGATAAGAACTGTAGTGGCTTATCACAGGCAAAGCCCTGGTGCTAAGTGCTTCTAGAGTTATCAGGGTCCATCCCTGCTCTGGAGGGGTTTAAGATTGCATAAGGAGGCTGAGGCAATTGCACAAATTACTATTTAATAATCACCATAAGGACAGGCACAGTGGCTCATGCCTGTAATTCTAGCTACTTGAGAGGCTGAGGCTGGAGGATTGCATGAGCCCAGGAGTTCAAGGCTGCAGTGAGCTGTGATCACACCACTGCACTCCAGCCTGAGTGACAAAAAGAAATCTGTCTCTGAAAATAAAAAGAATAATGATAGTGATAATGATGATGATGATGATGATGATGCTAATCACCATAAAAGTTACTGAGATGCTGAGGGGAATCCAAAAGTTGGGAGTTCACATCTGGATAGAGGATCAGGAAATGCTTCATGGTACAGATTCGTTTTTGAAAATCTAAGATCAACACATTTTCAAGAGCCTGAGAGCTTGATAGCAATTTTAAAATGTTATGCTTACGTTTTAAAGATAGTCACAAATGTGCTACCCTACCAAAAATATATAGAAAACTTTTCATTGATAACTTATAGCTGAAAATATTTTTATAAGGCTAGTTTCTAAGGTCATTGTTTCTGAAACTGGCAACCTAAATATTGTTTGTCTTTATAAATACACAGTATCTGTGTATTTCTCAAGTATAAGAAACTGTGGTGTTTCAGATGAGGAGTGGATAGTTGGATAGAATTTTGACTCACAGGCTTTTTGAGTTTCTCACTGACAGATTGACTCCTACTTGGACTTCAGCATCTTTGCTACCTGACCACAGCTATTTTTGGACTGTGGCTACCTTTACTCTGTTTAATCTGTCAATAGACTTCCTTTGTGTCTTTTCTTTCAAAAATTTGTTGAGGTATTTGTTTGACTGGTGACTTCCCCTTGCCATTACCTCCATTGTTACGGAGTTACTCATCTTCGTATTTCCATTCTGAAATTAATGGGGTATTGTGGGAAAGGAAATGAATTTATGTTACTATTTTACTTTGAAGGAGAAGTCCCTGTCTCTCATCTTATTCATTCATTCTTTATTTATTTATGCAAAGACTTGATTAGGATCCAATAGATGTGATGATTCAATAATTCAAAAGGAAAAAGCAACAAAACTGAAAATAAAATAAAAATTTATTTATGTTGCACTCTTGGCAAGATATTACACTTTACATGACACTCCTAGATAAAGAGTGAAGGATGAGACTTATGATGGATGAGGAGTCTGGGACAATAGCCAAGATCTTTATAGGGAGGCTGAAAAAAGCAGGTGGACTGTACCTGTGGCTCTGGAAGCCTCACTAGGAAGAGCTCTAAGCTTGTCAAGCCACTTAGAGGAATCCTCATTCTATGCTTTCTGTGTCCCAATACTCAGTGGAGCCAAGAAAACTACCTAGCACCATATTCTCCTGCCAACTCAGTACCTTCATTGCCCCCTGTCCTTCCTCACACCATTCCAGCTCACTCCTGGTATTCTTTAATTTTTACTCAGTATTATTTTTAGAGCAATTTTAAGATTGCAGCAACATTGAGCAGAAGATACTGGGATTTCCCATATACCCCTTACCCTGCACATGCAGAGCCCCCTACCTGTTATCTGTGTCTCCCATCAGAGTGGTGCATTGATCCCTTCCCTTACCTTCCCTTCCTTTCCCTTCCCCTTCCCCTTCCCCTTCCCCTTCCCCTTCCTTCCTTCCTTTTTTCTCTTCTCTTCTCTTTGCTTGCTTGCTCTTTCATTTGTTCATTCATTGGTTCGTTTAGTTTTGTTTTTTTGAGACGGAGTCTCACTCTATCACCCAGGCTGGAGTGCAGTGGTGCAATCTTGGCTCACTACAACCTCTGCTTCCTGGGTTCAAGCAATTCTCCTGCCTCAGCCTCCCGAGTAGCTGGGACTACAGGCGTGCACCACCATGCCCAGCTAATTTTTGCGTTTTTAGTAGAGATGGTGTTTCGCCATGTTGGCCAGCCTGGTCTTGAACTCCTGACCTCAGGTGATCCACCTGCCTTGGCCTCTCAAAGTTCTGGGACTACAGGTATGAGCCACCGTGCCCAGCCTACAATTTCTGAATCTACATTGGCACTTCATTGTCACCCAAAGTCCATAGTTTACATCAGAGCTGACTTTTGGTGTTGTACATTCTCTGGGTTTGGAGAAATTTATAGTGATATGAATCTACCATTATAGTATCATACAGAGTAATTTCACTGCTCTAAAAATCCTCTGTGCTTCAACAATTCACTGTCAAACAGGGCAGAACCTTTTATTATGTTGGGGGTAATGTCATCCTTTTCTTCCTTTAACCCCAGGCAACCACTGATTTTTTCATAGATTTGCCTTTTCCAAAATGTCATTTAGTTGGAATCACACATACGTAGCTTTTTCAGATTGGCTGCATTCACTTAGCAATATGCACTTAAGGGTTCTCTGTGTCTTTTCATGGCTTGATAGCTCATTTCCTTTTAGTTGTGAATAACATTCCATTGTCAGGATGTAGCAAAGTTTATTTATTCATTTACCTACTGAAGGAAATCTTAGTTGCTTCCAAGTTCTGGCAATTATGAATAAAACTGCTGTAAACATCCATGTGCAGATTTTCATGTGGAGATGAGTTTTTAACCCATTTAGGTAAATACGAAGGAGCACAATTGCTGGATTGTATAATAAAAGTTTGTTTAGCTTTGTAAGAAGCTGTCAAACTGTCTTCCAAAGTGGTTGTTACCGTTTTGCATTCGCATCAGCAATGAGTGAGAATTCCTGTTGCTCCATCCTCACCATTCGTCGGTATTGTCAGTGATCTGGATTGTAGTCATTGTAATAGGTATGTATTGGTATTTCATTGTGGTTCTGATTTGCATTTCCTTGATGACATATGCTGTGAAGCATCTTTCCCTATGCTTTGACATCTGTATGTCTTCTTGATAAGGTGTCTGTTAGGGTTTTTAGCTTATTTTAAAAATCAGCCTGCTTGTTTTCTTGCTGTTGAGTTTTTAATTTAATTTTATTTTGATTATACTTTAAGTTCTAGGGTACATGGGCACAACGTGTGGCTTTGTTACATTGGTATACATGTGCCATGTTGGTTTGCTGCACCTATTAACTCGTCATTTACATTAGGTATTTCTCCTAATGCTATCCCTCCCCCTGCCCGCTACCCCACGACAGTCCTCTGTGTGATGTTCCCTGCCCTGTGTCCAAGTGTTCTCATTGTTCGATTCTGACATATGAGTGAGAACATGCAGTGTTTGGGACAGTTTGCTCAGAATGATGGTTTCCAGCTTCATCCATGTCCCTATAAAGGACATGAACTCATCCTTTTTTTATGGCTGCATAGTATTCCATAGTGTATATTTGCCACATTTTCTTAATCCAGTCTATCATCATTGGACATTTGGGTTGGTTCCACGTTTTTGGTATTGTGAATAATGTTGCATTAAACATACATGTGCATGTATCTTCATAGTAGCATGATTTATAATTCTTTGGGTATATACCCAGTGATAGGATGGCTGGGTCAAATGGTACTTCTAGTTCTAGATCCTTGAGGAATTGCCATACTGTCTTCCAAAATGGTTGAACTAGTTTACACTCCCACCAACAGTGAGAAAGTGTTCCTATTTCTCCACATCCTCCCCAGCATCTGTTGTTTCCTGACTTTTTAATGATCACCATTCTAACTGGTGTGAGATGGTATCTCATTGTAGTTTTGATTTGCATTTCTCTGATGGCCAGTGATGATGAGCATTTTTTCATGTGTCTTTTGGCTGCATAAATGTCTTCTTTTGAGAAATGTCTTTTCATATCCTCTCCCACTTTGTGATGGGATTGTTTGATTTTTTCCTTGTAAATTTAAGTTCTTTGTAGATTGTGGATATTAGCCCTTTGTCAGATGGGTAGATTGCAAAAATTTTCTCCCATTCTGTAGGTTGCCTGTTCACTCTGATGGTAGTTTCTTTTGCTGTGCAGAAGCTCTATAGTTTCATTAGATCCCATGTGTCTATTTTGGCATTTGTTGCCATTGCTTTTGGTGTTTTAGTTATGAAGTCCTTGTCTATGCCTGTGTCCTGATTGGTATTGCCTAAGTTTTCTTCTAGGGTTTTTATGGTTTTATGTCTAACATTTAAGTCTTTAATCCATCTTGAATTAATTTTTGTATAAGATATAGGGAAGGGATCCAGTTTCAGCTTTGTACATATGGCTAGCCAGTTTTCCCAGCACCATTTATTAAATAGGGAATCCTTTCCCCGTTTCTTGTTTTTGTCAGGTTTGTCAAAGATCAGATTATTGTAGATGTGTGGTGTTATTTCTGAGGGCTCTGTTCTGTTCCATTGGTCTATCTCTCTGTTTTGGTACCAGTATCATGCTGTTTTGGTTACTGTAGCTTGTAGTATAGTTTGAAGTCAGGCAGCATGATGCCTCCAGCTTTGTTCTTTTTGCTTAGGATTGTCTTGGCAATGCAGGCTCTTTTTCGGTTCCATATGAACTTTAAAAAGTAGATTTTTCCAATTCTGTGAAGAAAATCATTGGTAGCTTGATGGGGATGGCATTGAATCTATAAATTACCTTGGGCAGTATAGCCATTTTCACGATATTGATTCTTCTTATCCATGAGCCTGGAATGTTCTTCCATTTGTTTGTGTCCTCTTTTATCTCGTTGAGCAGTGGTTTGTAGTTCTCCTTGAAGAGATCCTTCACATCCCTTGTAAGTTGGATTCCTAGGTATTTTATTCTGTTTGTAACAATTATGAATGGGAGTTCACTCATGATTTGGCTCTCTGTTTGTCTGTTATTGGTGTATAGGAATGCTTGTGATTTTTGCACATCGATTTTGTTTCCTGAGACTTTGCTGAAGTTGCTTATCAGCTTAAAGATATTTTGGGCTGAGACAATGGGGTTTTCTAAATATACAATTGTGTCATCTGCAAACAGGGAAAATTTGACTTCCTCTTTTCCTAATTGAATACCCTTTATTTCTTTCTCTTGCCTGATTGCCCTGACCAGAACTTCCAACACTATGTTGAATAGGAGTGGTGAGAGAGGACATCCCTGTCTTGTGCCACTTTTCAAAGGGAATGCTTCCAGTTTTTTGCCCATTCAGTATGATATTGGCTGAGGGTTTGTCATAAACAGCTCTGATTATTTTGAGATACGTCCCATCAATACTTAGTTTATTGAGAGTTTTTTTTTTTAGCATGAAAGGCTGTTGAATTTTGTTGAAGGCCTTTTCTGCAACTATTGAGATAATCATGAGGTTTTTGTCATTGGTTCTGTTTATGTGATGGATTATGTTTATTGATTTGCATATGTTGAACCAGCCTTGCATCCCAGGAATGAAGCCTACTTGATCATGGTGGATAAGCTTTTTGATGTGCTGCTGGATTCGGTTTGCCAGTAATTTATTGAGGATTTTTGCATCGATGTTCATCAGGGATATTGGTCTAAAATTCTCTTTTTTTGTTGTGTCTCTGCCAGGCTTTGTTATCAGGATGATGCTGACCTCATAAAATGAGTTAGAGAGGATTGCCCCTTTTTCTATTGATTGGAATAGTTTCAGAATGAATGATACCAGCTCCTCTTTGTACCTCTGGTAGAATTTGGCTGTGAATCCATCTGGTCCTGGACTTTTTGGATTGGTAGGCTATTAATTATTGCCTCAATTTCAGAGCCTGTTATTGGTCTATTCAGAGATTCAGCTTCTTCCTGATTTAGTCTTGGGAGGGTGCATATGTCCAGGAATTTATCCATTTCTTCTAGATTTTCTAGTTTATTTGTGTAGAGGTGTTTATAGTATTCTGTGACGGTAGTTTGTATTTCTGTGGGATTGGTGGTGATATCCCCTTTATCATTTTTTATTGTGTCTATTTGATTCTTCTCTCTTTTCTTCTTTATTAGTCTTGCTAGTAGTCTATCAATTATGTTGATGTTTTCAAAAAAACAGCTCCTGGATTCATTGATTTTTTGAAGGGTTTTTTGTGTCTCTATCTCCTTCGGTTCTGCTCTGATCTTAGTTATTTCTTGCCTTATGCTAGCTTTTGAATTTGTTTGCTCTTCTCTACTTCTTTTAATTGTGATGTTAGGGTGTCGATTTTAGATCTTTCCTGCTTTCTCTTGTGGGCATTTAGTGCTACAAATTTCCCTCTACAGACTGCTTTAAATGTGTCCCAGAGATTATGGTATGTTGTGTCTTTGTTCTCGTTAGTTTCAAAGAACATCTTTATTTCTGCCTTCATTTCATTATGTACCCAGTAGTCATTCAGGAGCAGGTTGTTCAGTTTCCATGGAGTTGTGTGGTTTTGAGTGAGTTTCTTAATCCTGAGTTTTAATATGATTGCACTGTGGTCTGAGAGACAGTTTGTTGTGATTTCTGTTCTTTTACATTGACTGAGGAGTGCTTTACTTCCAATTATGTGGTCTATTTTAGAATAAGTGTGATGTGGTGCTGAGAAAAATGTATATTTTGTTGACTTGGGGTGGAGAGTTCTGTAGATGTCTATTAGGTCTGCTTGGTGCAGAGCTGAGTTTAAGTCCTGGATACCCTTGTTAACCTTCTGTCTCGTTGATCTGTCTAATATTGACAGTGGAGTGTTAAAGTCTCCCATTATTATTGTGTGGGAGTCTAAGTCTCTTTGTAGGTCTCTGAGGACTTGCTTTATGAATCTGGGTGCTCCTCTATTGGGTGCATATATATTTAGGATAGTTAGCTCTTCTTGTATTGATCCCTTTACCATTATGCAATGGCCTTCTTTGTCTCTTTTGATCTTTGTTGGTTTAAAGTCTGATTTATCAGACACTAAGATTGCAATCCCTGCTTTTTTTTTGCTTTCCGTTTGCTTGGTAGATCTTCTTCCATCCCTTTATTTTGAGCCTGTGTGTGTCTCTGCATGTGAGATGGGTCTCCTGAATACAGCACATTGATAGGTCTTGACTCTTTATCCAATTTGCCAGTCTGTGTCTTTTAATTGGGGCATTTAGCCCATTTACATTTAATTTTAATATTGTTATGTGTGAATTTTATCCTGTCATTATGACGTTAGCTGGTTATTTTGCCCATTAGTTGATGCAGTTTCTTCCTAGCATTGATGGTCTTTACAATTTGGCATGTTTTTGCAGTGGCTGGAACTGATTGTTCCTTTCCATGTTTAGTGCTTCCTTCAGGAGCTCTTGTAAGGCAGGCCTGGTGGTGACAAAATCTCTCAGCATTTACTTGTCTGTAAAGGATTTTATTTCTCCTTCACTTATGAAGCTTAGTTTGGCCGGATATGAAATTCTGGGTTGAAAATTCTTTTCTTTAAGAATGTTGAATATTGGCCTCCACTCTCTTCTGGCTTGTAGAGTTTCTGCCAGGAGATCCGCTGTTAGTCTGATGGGCTTCCCTTTGTGGGTAACTTGACCTTTCTCTCTGGCTGCCCTTAACATTTTTTCCTTCATTTTAACCTTGGCGAACCTGACAATTATGTGTCTTGGGGTTGCTCTTCTCGAGGAGTATCTTTGTGGTGTTCTCTGTATTTCCTGAATTTGAATGTTGGCCTCCCTTGCTAGGTTGGGGAAATTCTCCTGGATAATATCCTGAAGAGTGTTTTCCAACTTGGTTTCATTCTCCCTGTCACTTTCAGGTACACCAATCAAATGTATATTTGGTCTTTCCCATAGTCCCATATTTCTTGGAGGCTTTGTTCGTCGCTTTTTACTCTTTTTTCTCTAAACTTCTCCTCTTGCTTTAGTTCATTAATTTGATCTTTAATCACTGATACCCTTTCTTCCACTTGATCTAATCAGCTATTGAAGCTTGAGCTTGTGTCACGTAGTTCTTGTGCCATGGTTTTCAGCTCCATCAGGTCATTTGAGGTTTTCTCTACACTGTTTATTTTAGTTAGCCATTCGTCTAATCTTTTTTCAAGGTTTTTAGCTTCCTTGAGATGGGTTCGAACATCCTCCTTTAGCTCAGGGAAGTTTGTTATTACTGACCTTCTGAAGCCTGCTTCTGTGAGCTCGTCAGTGTCATTCTCCGTCCAGGTTTGTTCCGTTGTTGGTGAGGAGCTGCAATCCTTTGAAGGAGAAAAGGCACTCTGGTTTTTAGAATTTTCAGCTTTTCTGCTCTGGTTTCTCCCCTTCTTTGTGGTTTTTTCTACCTTTGGTCTTTGATGCTGGTGACCTACAGATAGGGTTTTGGTGTGGATGTCCTTTTGTTGATGTTGATGCTATTCCTTTCTGTTTGTTAGTTTTCCTTCTAAGAGTCAGGTCCCTAAGCTTCAGGTCTGTTGGAGTTTGCTGGAGGTCCACTCCAGACCCTGTTTGTCTGGGTATCACCAGCGGAGGCTGCAGAACAGCAAATATTGCATTACAGCAAATATTGCTGCCTGTTCCTTCCTCTGGAAACTTTGTCCCATAGGGGCACCCACCTATATGAGGTGTCAGTTGGCCCCTACTGGGAGGTGTCTCCCAGTTAGGCTACACAGGGGTCAGGGATCCACTTGAGGAGGCAGTTTGTCCATTCTCAGAGCTCAAACACTGTTCTGGAAGAACCACCGCTCTCTTCAGAGCTGTCAGACAGGGACATTTAAGTCTGCAGAAGTTTTTGCTGCCTTTTGTTCAGCTACGCCCTGCCCCCAGAGCTGGGGTCTACAGAGGCAGCAGGCCTTGCAGCGCTGCGGTGAGCTCCACCCAGTTCAAGCTTCCCCAGCCACTTTGTTTACCCACTCAAGCCTCAGCAATGGCGAATGCCCCTCCTCCTGCAAGGCTGCTACCTCACAGGTCGATCTCAGACTGCTGTGCTAGCAGTGAGCAAGGATCTGTGGGTATGGGACTTGCCGAGCCAGGCATGGGATATAATCTCCTGGTGTGCCATTTGCTAAGAACATTGGAAAAGCACAGTATTTTGGTGGGAGCGTCCGAATTTTCCAGGTACAGGGCATCACGGCTTCCCTTTGCTAGGAAAGGGAAATCCCCTGACCCCTTGCACTTCCTGGGTGAGGAGATGCCTCACCCTGCTTCAGTTCACCCTCCATGGGCTATACCCACTGTCCCACCAGTCCCAATGAGATGAACCAGGCACCTCAGTTGGAAATGCAGAAATCACCGTCTTCTGTGTTGTTCACGCTGGGAACTGCAGACTAGAGCTGTTCCTATTCGGCCATCTTGGAACAGAATCCTGTTGAGTTTTAAGAGTTGTCTCCTGGAATTCTTGTTTATTTTCTCTTTAAAAAAAGGCTTGTCTTTGTAGTACACCTTCTATGTGGTTTCTAGAAGTAGTGTGGAGTTAACATTGAGGTATATTTAAGTTTAGCAGACAACTGTTGCAATCTATTCAATGATTAGTTTATTTACTCACCAAACATATATTTATAAATTACTGTATAGCAGGTGCTATGATAAGTGCTGAGATTTTAAAGATTATATTTGCTGTCCTCAAAGAGCTTCTAGACTAATGTGAAGTCAGATACATAAATACGCAATTTCCATGTTACCGTAAACAATGTTATAATAAAGAAAATTAGAAAGTGTGATGAGAACTCAGAGAAGGAAGAACTTTATGGAGTCTGGAACTCAGGAAGCGGGGGAGCTGGAATTGAGCTGGATGATATAAGGTGAGTAGATAGGGGAGGAAAAGTTTGCTAGCTGGGAAAGGGCCAAAGGGGAAAAGGCTTTCTAAAGAATGAGAGAAATTCCCTTTCAACCTTGGGGTGAAATGCAAGAACATGTGTGTTAATGAGAATTTCAGGTAGTTCAGCATGCCTGGAGTTCTCTGAGAGATTATAGCCCATGTTGAACTTCATTGGTACTAAATCCCATCCTTTAAAGAAGTGGGATTGACAGTTATTTTTATTTTTTATTTTTTGGGACAGAGTCTCACTCTGTTGCCCAGGCTGGAGTGCAATGGCGTGATCTTGGCACACTGCAACCTCAGCCTCCCAGGTTCAAGCGATTCTTCTGCCTCAGCCTCCCAAGTAGCTGGGATTATAGGTGTATACCACCATGCCTGGCTAATTTTTGTATTTTTAGTAGAGACAGGATTTCACCATGTTGGCCAGGCTGGTTTCGAACTGTTGACCTCAGGTGATCCACCCGCCTCGGCCTCCCAAAGTGCTGGGATTACAGGCATGGGCCACTGTACCTGGACGACAGTTTTATTGAAGTCTTCCCATATCATCTGAGTTTTAATGACGATCTTAATTTCTAAACACTACAAGGATTCTGGGAATCATAAATCCTGTCAATCAAGGAGTGATCACCAAATCATTGCAAGGCTTTGTGATATGTACAAAAATGAATAACTGCCCTTACTGTCTGGAACCGCAGACCTTAGTTAGGAAAGAGTTCCTCAAAACTAAAAGATCTCTTTTTTTAGGTGATAGTCCTTAGTTTTATTTAGGAAAGAAGAATGTTTATGAAATCTTTTCTTGGAGTTCCGCAAATCATGGAACTACTGGGAGGCATCCTGGAGGATCTTGAGTATTTGACCTGAAATAAAAATGGCTTAGCAGTACTCCCTTCACTTCTTACTAAGGAAGTCCCTTGGTCAGATCTACTGAGCACCCACTGCCTCAGTCAGTGTTTCACAAGTGAGATTCCTAGACCATAGCATTAGCAACACCTGGGAGGTTGTTGGAAGTGCAGTTTCTCAGGTCCCACCCTAGACCTCCTGTGTCAGGAACTTCGGGGCTGGAGCTTAAAACTCTGTGTTTTAACAAGCCCTTCCAAGGAGTCTGAGGCACAGTGCATGCTCAAGTTTGAAAATCACTGGTCTCAGTGATCGCTGGTGAACTTTTCTGTTGCTATTCTATGTCCTGCCAAGTGAGGGAGCACTTTGTAGGTCTTTGCCACACTGTACCCCTCTTTCCCACAGACCCAAGCAACTTTTAAAAAGAGGGATGACTAGTTAGTCATCAAATACAAGAATAACTCTTTTTGTTATTTTTTTATTATAAAAGATACATAACCTAAAATTTGCCGTTTAAAACCTTTTAAAGTGTACAATTCAGTCATTAATTATACTCACAATATTGTAGAACTATTTCCACTATCTACTGTCAAAACTTTGTTGTTACCCCCTAAATTCTGTCTGTAATCATTAAGCAATAACTTCCCACTCCCCTTCCCCTCAACCCCTGGTAACCACTGATCTACTTTCTGTCTCTATTTCTCATCATTTTATGGGTATCTCATGTAAGTGGAATGAATTGCACAATATTTGTCTTTGTATGAATGACAACGTTTTGAAATGCTAGTTGCATTCATGCTGGAAGGTGCTAAGCCTTGGTACCGCATATGGCCATGTTACATCTCAATCAAACAGGACAGATAACAGTCAGGTTTGTCTTCAATGTGCTCTTTAACTGGAGCAAAATCAGATACATTTTTGTTCATCTATTGAATCAGAAACTGTCTGCTGGGTGCCTGCTCTGTGCTGTGCATTGAGATAGGATATCACATCTTTTCTTTTGTGCTGCCAGATATTTCAAGAGTGGATTATATCATAGGTACATTTGACTTATAAGAGTTCAACTAAGTGTGTGGTATAGTGAATATTCTATTGTAGTCAAATAGCAAACATTCTGTAGAATTCTATTTTGCATATATATGCTTAATTATATTATTTACTCATTATACCTCTCTATATACATATTGCAGTATAGGATTATAGTTGTACATCCATGTATAATGGACTTTTGAATTGTTTAAGGAAGTTAAATTATTTTAAGGGTAATGTTTGCCTTAAGTGCTAACTTGAGAGTCACACCTCTATGTAGAAAGAGACTCTCTTGTTTGTGAGAACTTATTGCAATCCCGGTCTGCTCCTTTCCCCTCAGACATTAGCTTTTTCCTTCCCAGTGCTGGGGATTCCCAAAAGCTTTTGTCTGAGCCCTTGTTCTGATGCTGTTGCTTGTGAATTTGGAAGTACTTCAAAACCATTTCTCCTTTGCAGAGTCTCTGCTTATGACAAGCCAGGCAGAATGGGGCCCTCCCAGCCTCGATTGTGGTGCTCTGCTCCTGGTTCTATCTCAGGCAGTAGCCATCCTCTGTCACACTCCCTGCTGAGTGTTCGTAACCAAACCAGTCTGAGATCTGGGTTTCATTTTCTCTTAAAAAAATTTCCCGTGATTGATGAGGATTCCTGCATCTGTCTTTGACAGCATCTGGATAGAGTTGTAGGGGAGGAGGTTCTTTGTTTCCAAAGAAAAATGGACGAGCTCCATCCTGGGCACAGGATCTGGTTCCATTTCTGCACCATATGTTTATTATGCTTTTTCTTTCCTTTCAGCATGCAGAAGCCATCTCAGTTTCTGTTTCTGTTTTCTCCTCTCTCCCTTGAAAATGGTGGTTAGCAAGATCCGTGTGTTACCACTTTTCTTGGTCACCTGGCTCTGTGTGTGTGTGTGAGTGTATATGTATGCGTGTGTGTGTGTGTGTGTGTGTGTGTGTGTGTGTGTGTGTGATTTTATGCATCCTGCTAGTCCCTCTCAATTCAGGCAGGAGGCCGGCGCTGTAGCAGATGGTATTCTAAACAACATGTTCAATCCCTTTTAAAGGTCCTCCTGCTTTATCCACCTGTTATTTGGCTAACTCCTTTGGTTCTTCACTTTCTTTTTCCGCTGCAACAACCCCTTGTCCCACTGCCAACTCTAGTGAGGCTCTAGGATTAAATTCTAGGGCCACCTTCTTCCTTCTTTCTGAAATCTCTCCAAAAAAGCTCGCTAGTGCCAGTGCTCAATGTGGTGTTGGACAGCAGGTGTTAAGTACCTGACATTGCAGTGAGACAGATGCCCAGTGAAGTTCCAGATCTGCTGCTTTCTAACATGGCTACTTCAGGCAGGTTAAGTTACCTTTCTTAGTCTCTTCATCTGTAAAATGGCGATTGTTATGAGAAGTAACTGAGCTAGTATTTTCTCAGCAATCTCACAGCAATCTGTCAAGAAATCCCATCAGTTCTAAATCTAAAACATATCCACGTGCTTCTTGAGATCACTCCAATTGTACCATGAAGAACAGTTTGAACGGGTCCTAGAGTGGATATGGATGTGTCATTTTGGGGACTACTGCAATAGTTAGGTGAAAAATGATACTTGTGTGATTTCTATTTATTTCAATCTTTAGCAATATTTTTTCAAGTGTTCTCTAGTTCTCAGTATAAAAGGATGCCTTTTGTTAAATTGATTACCAGGAATTGTACTCTTTTTGCTGCTAAGATTAGTGGGATTTAAACAAAATCATTTCTGAATTTTCATTGCTAATGTATAGAGATACAATTGACGTTTGTATGTTAATCTGTTATCATGGCCACCTTGCAAAACTTGTTTATTAGTTTTAATAGTTTTTAGTGACTAAGATTTTTCTGTACCCAAGATCACGCCATCTGCAAATAGACATAGTTTTATTTCTTATTTTCCAAACTACATGCCATTTATTTATTTATTTATTTATTTATTCATTTATGCTTAAGTGCCCTGACTACAATCTCCAGTATAATGTTAAGCAGAGGTAGCAGAATATGTATCTTTATCTTATTTCTGATCTTAGGGGAAAAGCATTCAATCTTTCTTCATTAAGTATCATATTAACTGTGGATTTTCTATAGGCCACTTTATCAGTTTGAGGAAGTTTCCTTTGATTCCATCTTATTGAATAATTTTGTAAGAAAAATATGATGGATTTTATCAAATACTTTTCCTGCGTGTTTTGAGATGATCAGGTATTTTCAAATTCTTTATTCTGTTATTATGGTGGGTTACTACATTGACTGAATTTCAGATGTCAAACCAACCCTGCATTCCTGGACTAAATCCCATTTACTCCTGTGTGTAATCCTTTTTACTTGTTGCTGTGTTTAGTTTGCTCCACATGGCTTTCTACTGGTCTCTGGCTTCTACTCTTGTCTTCCTAGTCCTTTAAAAAAAATGTAGAGTTGTCAGAGAAGTCTTCTTAAAACATGCTAAATCATTGCTCAAAATCCAGTAGAGAATCCTCCACTTACGGTGAAGCCAAAGCCCTTATAGTACCTACCTCATCTCAGTCCTGCTCCACTCCTGTCATCCTCAACTCTAGCAGCCCTGCCCATCTCACTGTTCCTTGAACAGGTCAGGGCTATTGTCACCTTACAGTGTCTGTACTGGCTGTCCCCTCAGCTCAGCAGATGCTTCTCCTGATAATTGCATGACAACCACTTCCTCTCCATATTTTTATTTATATGTTGCTTTATCAAAGAAGTCTACTCCAGCCAACCTTTTAAATCTTGTAACCCATTCCTCTACAGCTGATCTCTTTACCTTGTTGTTGTTTTTTCTTTTTTTCCCCATGGCATTTATCACATCTAAGAATACTAATTTAGTGGGCTTTTCAAAAATACTTTTGTCTATTGGCTATTTCTTTCACTTTAATTCCCTCAAACATAAGCTCTTTGGGTGTAAGAGTCTTTGGTTTATCAGTTTGTCTTGACACATAGCAGGTCCTCAGTAAATATTTGTTGAACGAAAGAATAATATAACTAAGGCTCTTAGACCAGTGCCTAGCTTTTGAAAAAGGTTTAGCAAACATTTGATGGTTATCTGTGTTCAAATAAGACTAAGTGGTAGGGGTAGAATAGTAGAAAACAAAACATGTTTCCTATTTTCTGGAGCTTGCAGAGTGGAAGAGGAGACAGAAATTAATAAAACAATCACACAACTGAGTGAATAACTGCAAACTAAATTGTGCAATGAGAAAAGAGGAAAAAAGGATGAATGTACCTAACAGAGGACTAGGGGTCAAGGGAGTCTTTCTACAGGAAATGACACCTAAGTTAGGATGTAAAGGATAAAGTAT
The DNA here is from genome assembly GCF_000001405.40 of Homo sapiens. NCBI lineage: Eukaryota > Metazoa > Chordata > Mammalia > Primates > Hominidae > Homo > Homo sapiens. The sequence goes on from NC_000015.10 coordinate 86,217,629, forward strand.
GAGATACAGGTAAAGAAGGGGAGAAAGGCCCAGGGCATTTTAGGCTGCAGCATTAGCAAGGTCAAAGGACAAGCCATGGGTACATGCTCTAGGTCTTGGAAAAAGAACAGTGGGGCAGAGGTATAGAAAGCAAGAGAAAGTGGTGTGGGACAAAGCTGGAGAGGGTGGCATCTGCCAGATTCAGTAGGGCCTCCTGGTCCATGTTTCAGATTTGGATTTTTTATCCAGAGCAAGAGTGGATGTGGGGTAGCAATGTGAGGGTGCTCAAATCTGAGCCTCTGATTGAGAAGACCACTCTAGTTGCAGACTGGAGAACAGCTTGAAGGAGATACAGAGTGGATATGGATAGATTAGTTTTGGGGCTATAGCAGTAGTTGGGTGAGAGATATTTGGGTGATTTTAATTTATTTCATTTCTTTTTGCTTAATTATATTTTCTAATATACCTAAGGAATAACCTAGGAAGTTAAAATATATGTTCCAACCAAGGACCAATAGCTCTAGAAATTACATTTCTCATTAAAGTACCAGACCCTCACATGCTTAGGCTAGGGTGACAACAGCAGAGATCAAAAGGAATGGACAACTTAAGAGCTCTCTAGAAGTTACAAAGTGGTGTTTGAGGAAATGATGGAGATCTAGGTGGAAAGGGCAGGTGGTGTTAAGGGTGCATGTTCAACTTCTGGGAAGATAGTATTTCCACTCTCTGAAAAGGGGACGTCTGGGGAGGGTCAAGTCTTGGTGAAGTGAATGTTAGGTTGCTGGTATCTGGATGCTAAACATTGCAAGAAGCTTTGGGTGGGGGACAGACTCTCAGGTGGCCCCCTGCCATGATCCTCACCTCCTGTTGTTTATACCTTTATGTTATTTCCTGCCTTTGAGGATGGGAAAGAGCTGAAACTTGTTTTTAACCCACAGAATATGGCAAGGTAAGGACATGTCATCCCTGGTCACCCCTGTGATTATATTACATAATTGTGTTATAAGAGGTCATTGCATATGTACTCTCTATAGAAACTTTCCTCATTGATGAAGTAAGCAGTAATGTTGGGGAAACCCCCATTGCAAAGAACAGTTGGTGGCTTGTAGAAACTGCAGGTAGCCTCTAGAAATGCAGAGTGGTCTTACTGTCTGTTGATACAGCAAGCCGGCAGTGTCCTTGGCCTTGGCACTGCAAGGAAAGGTATTTTACCAAGAACCTGTTTGAGTTGGGAAACATCCTTCCCCAGTTGAGCCTCAAGATGAAGACTCAGCCCTGGCTGATGCCTTGATTGCAGCCTTGTCAGACCGTAAGCAGAGGATCCACCTAAGTGGATTCCTGCCCCATATAAACTGTGAGATAATACATGAATATTGCTTCAAGCTGCTACAATTGTGGTAACATTACACTGCAATTGATAACTAATATGGGTGGCATTGCTATATCTAGGCCATCTGTGCCACAGAATATCTGACTTCCAAGAGATAGTTTGGTCCTATGTTTCCTCCATGTACCCAGGGATAGGAGCACATTTTTTCTCCAGTGACCTCTCCTGACTGGTGAATGATGACCCTGCAGGCTCACTGCCTGCAAACACATATACAGAGATAAACCCACTTCCTCACTTGGTACCCATTCCACCTTCCATGATCCAAGAATGACATTCAAGTTATTAGGTTGGTCCAAATGTAATTGTGGTTTTTGCCATTACTTTTAATGGCAAAAATTACGTTTGGACCAACCTAATAATATTACATTTCAGGGGCTCTAGTAAGCTTTTTAACGTAATTTAATTTAAATTTTACTTTATCTCACTCTTCACACCATCCCATCAGTTAGATCTTATACCCACTTTATAAATGAGAAAGGCTATGAGATTCAGAGAGATCAAGTAAACCCAGAACCCAGAAGCAGAAAAGTGGCTGCTCCAAGCTTCAAACCCAAGCCCTCTAATTCCTAATTTAGCAACTCAGTCCTGCCACTCAAAGATGCCTGTGACTTGCTTCTCCTTGAGTTCTTTGTCTTTGTCTCCATGACCACCATTGAACATCTAAACCCGCTTAAGCTGTACCACACTGTGCTATGTAGAATCTTGAATCAAACAGTGGACTCAAGCTGGACAAGTTGTTTGCCTCATTGGCTCTGTGATGTATGAATCCTCTGACCTTGCACCAGTCATCTAACCTTTTGATCTCCACAATCCTTATTTGAAAGATAAAAATATTGCACAGAGAGATATTTTAGATTCTTTCTAGAATTATGTTAAAAGTAGAGAGAAGACTTTAGGATCACTAGATTTAAATTCACCCAGAGGTAGACTTATAGCTAATGCTGCCTCTTTTTTTTTTTTTTTTTTTTTTTTTAGATGGAGTTTCACTCTGTTGCCCGGGCTGGAGTGCAGTGGCACAATCTTGGTTCACTGCAACCTCTACTGCCTGGGTTCAAGCAATTCTCCTGCCTCAGCCTCACAAGTAACTGGGATTACAGGGGCCTGCCACCATGCCCAGCTAATTTTTTGTAGTTTTTAGTAGAGATGGGGTTTCACTATCTTGGCCAGGCTGGCGTTGAACTCTTCACCTTGTGATCCACCTGCCTCGGCCTCCCAAAGTGCTGGGATTACAGGCATGAGCCATCAAGTCCAGTGAATACTGCCTCTTGCTAGCTGCTGAAACTTGGGAAGATTATTTAACCTTTGTGAACTTCATTATTGCTGTTTGTAAACCAAGACTAATAATTTCACCCTCTAGCATTCCCGTGAAGATCAAATGTGATGTATAATGATGTATATAGGACATTTAGCTTGCTGCTTGGCATTTATAGGTGCTCCCTAAATAGGGGTGATAAATATTCAAGACTCCTCTGTAATGGCTCTTAAAATTTACTTCAACTTGAAGACGTAAATTGAACTGTTGCAATTCTGTTGTGTTTTGCTAAAATCTTAACGAGAGGATATTTACAAATTTGCCAATAGTTTAAGCTTAGCTTTTTCTGAAAAGGAGAGTGGACGTGAACTGTGACCTCTAGAATCTTAACTGAGTTATCCTACAGTATGAAAATAGATAGGATGTGGGCGGTTCCACTTTGCCTTTGGCTGTTATAACTCTCTTGGAGCAAGATGTTCTGCAAAAATTTCTGAAATGATTCTTTCATTGATGTAAACATGGGGACATCCATTTGGAGGACATTCTGGCACTTCTACTTTCTATCTCCCCTGGGCATCCCATAGGGAAGCTCAAACAATGGGGGATGATGTTATGAGTTTACACTCTAAGAAAACAGTGCCCTCCCAAGAAGTCCTCTTCAGGCCGTGCACAGTGACTCATGGCTCATGCCTGTAATCCTAGCACTTTGGGAGGCTGAGACAGGCAGCTCACTTGAGGTCAGGAGTTTGAGACCAGCCTAGCCAACATGGTGAAACCCCGTCTCTACTAAAAATACAAAAATTAGCCAGGCATGGTGGCATGCCTGTAATCCCAGCTACCTGGGAGGCTGAATCAGGAGACTCACTCGAACCCAAGAGGTGGAGGTTGCAGTGAGCTGAGATTGTACAACTACACTCCAGCCTGGGGGACAAGTGCAAAACTCCATCAAAAAAAAATAAAAAATAAAAAATGAAAAGAAGTCCTATTCTATAAAATCAGTGCAGCTACCAGAACCATGGGTGTCAGATGTGCACATCCAGCAGAAGGCAGTCTTGCACTCCAAAGGCACTGACTGTGGGCCCCCAGTTCACGCACTCAATACAATGGGCTTGGCTCTTGGAGTGGAAGTAACTGAATGCCTTCTTAGTTGTTTAAGTTTTAGCAGCTTAAGCTTTTGCTTTTTGTGGGCTTAGCAGTTGGTTGACAGAGTAGTTGCCTCGGCTCTGATAGGTTTTACTTCTTTCTTCATGCTTCGCTGTGGGAGCAGACAAGTGGCAGAGCAGCAATGATGAGAGTGGACCAGCGCTGCAGACATGTAACCACTGAATAAACCAAAAATCAAGAGCCTCTTGGTGACATGCACATGAGCGACTCGATGTCTGGATCCTTGGCACTGCGTATGGGAGATGAAGTGCTTTCAGTTTGCTCATTAGTTGATTTCAGATGTTTATTCTTATACAGATCTTATGTGGACACTACATCCAAAACAACATATTTACAAACTTTTTTTTTTTTAAGGAAAGCACTTATATCACATTCCCAGTAGGTACACAAGTGTATGTTCATGCATTGAAGTGAAAATTTCTTAGATCACTGCTAACCTTTGCTACATGAAATGACTCTGATATATTAAATTTCATTTTGATTTCTATTTCATTAAAAACTATAGTTGATACCTATAAAATTGACTTCACAATGCACTATTGGGTCAAAATTTCCAGTTTGAAAAACAGTGTGCCTAGACAGTCTGGTGAAGTTCAGTTTCCAAACTAATCATCCGCAGGTCTCCTAGTTCCTCAAATGCACATCTTCTGACTCCTTTAGGGGTTTCCTATCCTCTAGTGTTGATGTCTTCCTGGGGCAGCCCTCTATTCTGCTCTTGATTGAATTTCCTCTCCGATATCACCTGCTTGCCTGGCTATGATGATCATTGCTGCTGTAGTGATTCATAAATGTATATTCCTAACTGTGGTTGCGTTCCTGAATTCTGTATGATGTTTCCAGCAGCATTCCAAACAGTTTCATGTAGCCTTCTGTTGTACCCTTCATCTTGAACTCAGCACCAAAATCAAAATCATTATTTTGTCTAAACACTGCAACTTCTCTTCTTAGTCTATTAATGGCTCTCTTATTCCCCTATCTACCTAGCCTAACTATTCCAGGCCATCACTGACTCTTCACTCTCCTTCACCCTCCGCAGCTCACCTTTCCTCAGCTCTCGTTAATTTTTTGCTCACAACTTCTCTCTCACTTTTCCATTTTGACACCACATCATCTCAATTTAAAAAACCAAATGGCTTCTCATTACCTACAGAGTTGAATGTTAACTCTTTAGAATATTGGACTTTGGCCTCAAATCTTATCTCCATCATTGCCCTAAATGTGCCCTTTGCTGCACTAAACATTGATCTCCTACTTATGCCCTAGGAAGAAATAAATATTTTCTAGTTTCTCAGGAATAAGCCTCAATTTTTTTGATGAATGTGACACTTATCATGCATTTCCAGCTATATAATGTCACTGTTTGGATTAATATTTATTTAGGTTAGCATATTATTAGGTACTTTCTAGAGAGTTGTGATCTGGGAGTCACCTTGAATTGCTCTCTCAACATCGAAAGGGTAACTAAGCCATACTGATACTGTCCCCTAAACCAATTATCCTAAAACTTTCATGTGCATATAAATTATCTGTTAGAATAAAGATTCTTATTCAGCAGGCCAGGGATGTGGTTTGAGATTCTGCGTTTCTATCTGGCTTTCAGAAAATGTGAGGCTGCTGGTTAGAGACCCACACTTTGAGTAGCAAGATTCAAATGTGGCTTTAACCCATCCCTTCTTCCTCCATGCCACTTTTTGGGTTTAAGACCTTATTATTACTTATTCTCCTGACTGGTCTATTTGCCACCTGTCCCTCCCCACCACTAGTCTGTCTCATAAAACCATTATCTAATGGATCATTACTTCATTTGTGAACTTCCTAAAACAAAAGTGCAATGGAAATTAGAAATGCGATCCTTAGAGACCTGGCCTCTGAACTAGGATTGGGTTAGGCGCCTTGCTTGGGACATCCTTATTCTATTCCTGTTTCTGTGGTTTCCTTCTTCTCTGCTCATTCATTTTGATGAAATTAATTAGGCTGTTCTGCTTTTCCCAAAACACTGATTTTCTTTTTGCCCCAGCCCAAGCCAGGCCCCATATACTATGGCACCTGGATTTTTCACACAACTTGAATTTTCAGAAACACCTTCCATGTGTTCCGTTTTCAATCCACTGTTGTGAAAACTCTGTGGGATTCAACAACAGTGGGATTGAAGAAGCTGAAAGTTGATAAGAGGAAAACCGTTTGAAGGATAAATGAAGTAGTCCATCCATGAAAGCTAGCCTCGCCCTCTTTTAACTGCCCTATGGTCATTTTGGTCTCCCTGAGTGGGGGTGTCATCCCAGTTGTGGGTTTGCACAGGGGCCTGTGAATTTCAGGCTTTTGCTCTTGTGGAACTGCCTTGTAGGTTATGGGGAGCAATGCTTTCACATGTACTGCTTTTCTACTGTATTTTACTTTATATTTATTCTTTCATTTATCTTCCTTTTTACTGCTGGCTCTGTTGTTCAGTATTAGCTAATATATTGCAAAGTGAGCTTTCATTGACCAGGCAGAGGCCAGGGTAGGGCCACTGAGAGATTCTGGAGAACAACAGATGGGGAGGAAGCAGAGGTGTGCAGCGAGATTCCTGGGATTGGGATCCCAGCTCTGCTGACATGTCTGTACAGTCTTGGAAGTGTGATCTAGCCTCTTTGGCCTGTTCCTCCAATCCTGAGAGAGGTGGTGGAAACAGATCACTGCTTAGCAGGCCTTAGGGATAAGTTACTAGGGCCACACAGAATCTTCTATTTTTTTAAAAAAGCAAACACAACTCTCCTCCCTATAATTATACTACACTGCCCTCAATGCCAGTGAAGTTTTCCTTTGCCCTGTAGGTAGATTTTTGTGTGACCTTCTCAGAAGCAGGAAACAGATTGAAAAGCCACTAAGATGTGGGTCAAAAAGTATTTTTCATTCTCATATGTGTCCCTTTGTTGCAAAGACTGTGACATTCCTCCATGGCAGAAAGGAATGAATTTGGAAGAAAAATCCCAACATAACTATTTTCCACCCTAAGGAAACAGCCTCTCTTTGCAATGTGTGAATGCATTTTCCACTGCATCCCCAGGGGTATGAGTGTTTCAAGAAGTTTGCACTGTGCTGCTACATTCACTAAGCCCCCAAGCCCCACTCCTTCCCAGACCATCCTCCAGAGTCCCTGCAAGTTTCCAGAAACAAACAAATCAAGAGACTGACAAGAGCTCTGCCTGGTATGAATAATAGAAAAATGAGCCACTCTGTGCAAGGAAGTTGGTGGAAGGTGGGAGGCAAGCAGGGGAGAGAAAGAGATTTTCAGCAGCAGAGGGGACCTCAGAGACCCATCTACAAGACGGACACTTCGCTCAGCGTTATTTCTGCATTTATGCCTCTTTAATGGTCAGCGGGGCAATCAATAGATTGCCTGCTACCTGGTTAATCATGGGTCTGTTATGGGGTGGCAATGGGCATGCTGGCTGTGGGATCCATGTGCTGAGAAAAAGACCATTGAATGTTGACTGTTACTTTTCTTTCTCTTTCCCCAGGGCAGCCACTGAAGTTTTGGCAGCATTGCTGAAATCCAGTAAGCACCTCTTTTGAAGGGTGGCTATTTCTCTCCACTCTGGGTTTAATGAAAGATACTTTCTGGTCCCCATGGCTGTTTCTTTTTTTTTTTTTTTCATGAACTACTATTTCTCAATCACCTATGGCTAATTCCTGACCTTGAAAGTGATAAAGTCATGTCGTGGGTCTTTGGGGGTAAGATAGAGAATATTATGGCTGTTCCAGGTACATGACCACAAAGAGAAAATAAATATTATCCATACACAATGCCACCAAGACAATGGACCCTAAAGGGGGTATATTGACTACTGTGGAGCTGATGGACCCTCCACCCCTGTCTAACAGAGCCAGCAGTCCCTAAAGATTGTTGAAATAAATTCCAGGTTCCAGTGGGATTGCCTCCAGGTCCCAGTGGAAGAAAAGATTTTGGCTGGCTGGAGAGAAGTATTCCTGTATTTGGTTCTCAACTCAGCTCAGCTCATGAGTCTATATTCTTGGGCAGGTGGAGTGCTGGGAATTGCTTGGACAATGATGATGCTGATAACAAATTTATATTTAAAAGTTGACTCTTTTCTCAGTTACTTGAGTGATTGCAAAAGAATAGCTCTGGGGTTCTGAATAATTTGAGGAATTTTTTGCCTGGTAGCCCTGGCCTAATTACGTTGGGAGTCAATTTCATGTGTGCAATATAATAGCAGGCACAATGCACTTGGGAGGGAAGAAGTCTTAGCTTAATGTTTTTACTCATTTTTTCCTCCTTACCTCTTCATCTATTTTAATTTGGCACCTTGGAAGCCAGCTGCTTCAATTGTGATATTTGTTTCTCTATAGGGAGCCTGAGGCCTGTGGGTAATAGGTGAACTTTAATAAAACTTTTAAATAAATAAATAAAAATAAAAACACTCTCTCCCCCCATCCATACATCTCTGTCAACTATAAGCAGAGAGAAAGAGCCAAATCACATGCTGTTTCCCTTTATAGGCTTAGAAAAATTGAAGCTTGAATTCATTTGGTTTATTTGAATTTGATATGAGATGCAAGTCCACATCTGTGGACTTGACATGAGATAAGCTTGATAAGCTGTGATATGAGATAACTTGAGATAACTTGATAAGCTGTGATATGAGATCCACAGCTTAAAGACCTGCAGGTAGAGTGGAGGTGGTAAGAGCAGGATAGGGGAGTGAAGAGGAAGGGCTTATGAAGCCCTGGAGATAGGAAGGGATGGAAAAGTGTTACTGTGGGTTCTGGGGAGAGGACCATTCATTCTTCAGACTGAACTTGCTTCAGGTTTGGCATCTCGGTTCTCATTATTTATCTGCTCCCTCGGTTGCTCCCAAATGCCTGGTGTTTGAAGCACCAAGGTGAGGGGGTGTTGAATTGCAGGAGGAAAAGATGCTGAGAGCAGCCTGGTAGGCCAGCCTGTGAATGTCATGCCTTGGGAAAGAAGCTATCTCTCAAATCCCCCCAGCCCAGCCTTGGCATGGAGGACTTGATGTTTCATGGGAAGGGAGCCCAGAGAGCTGAGTAAGGCTGGCTTACTTTCTACATACACACTTTCCTTAGCTCTTGAGCTTACGGTTGAGCATCCTGATATAAATTGTACCTACCTAGATGTGTAAAACTCTGAAAGTAGTCTTATGTCAGTTGTTTACTCTATTGATCAGGAACACAATGCCTCAGCCCAGGAAAAACCAATAGCCAGTGCAAACACGGCTTGATTCAGGCTCAGACCGTGTAGCTAGGTTTTCAACACACCAGCCATGCCTAGTAGGCTGAGTGTGCAGTGATGGGCCTCAGCTTTTAGAATTTCTAACTTCTTCTTTCCCTTTAGAGCTTAGCTCAGATATTGCCTCCTCTGAAAATCCTTTCTCTGACTACCACAACTTGGATGCCCCTCACCAATGCTTTTATAGGCTCTCCCAACTCAGACTTGATTACATTGTGATGAAATTGCTATTGTCTGTCTCTTCCAGCAGACTGCAAGCTTTTGAGGGAGAGAGTCATCTGTATTGGTTGTTGTATTACTTGCCTCAGCACAATGAAAATCCTGAAATAAGTATTTGTTGACTAAATTTTTTTTGTTGTTGTTTTCTTTTTAAAATAATTTTGAGTACTGGGATACCAAATTTTTAAATGAATACATGATTTGTGATTTTTCCCATGTGTAAAAATGGCAGTACTGCCCCCTTCTACCAGAATCTAACATCCATGCATAGAACCAATGATCTAAACATTTGTGATTCTCATCTCTATTTACCTGTTCTAACAGATTGGTGGAGAACTGCAATAGCTTGCTGTCCTCCACATATAAAACGGGTTTTAGTGTCCCACTAGGAGGATGTATAGCCTATTTGCTAATTCTGCTGAGCTGTCTATACATCTTTGGTGTTAATTATAACACAAGGTAGTTGGATGAGAGGTTCTCTAACATTCTTTCTAACACTAAATACTCAGCCTTAATGTGTATCAGGGTTTCTCAATGTACCATTGGCATTTTGGACAGGATAATTCTTTGCTGTTAGAGTCTGTTCTGTGCATTGCAGGATATACAGCAACATCCCTGGCCTCTACCCACCAGACGCCAGTATCATGCCTCAGTTGTAACCAAAAAATTATCTTCAGACTCTGCCAAATATCCCCCATGGGGGGTGGACAGTAAAATTTCCACTTGTTGAGAATCACTGATGTGTATGTATTTGGGTACACACATGAGCTGAAGCTCATTCAAAGTTTCAAAAGACCCCTTCCAAAATACCTTTATTGATATTTCCAAGAAATGCACTTCTTGCATAATTGATGTGAAATTCCTCAGTATCAGCCTCATTCATATGGGTTCATAAGAGGTAAGAACACTGAAGGCAGAATGTCATTGTGAGCATTTACAAAGTACTTTGGAGGGAAACAGATTCTACAGGATCTTGAGGGTCTGAGAATGAGGAGGGCAAATAGATTTAATAATGAGTAGAAAGTCCAATGTGTGGGTAGGAGAATTCTGAGATCATGTTTAAGCTCAGCAAGAAAGAGGACTTCATTTAAATCGCAAAGTCTGTCATGGATTTGGGGAGAAGTAATAACAGCATGCTAGGCAGCTGCCGTCTTTGTTTTACCAGCCTATCAAAAGTATTGATGGCATGAAGGGTCTGGTTATAGATGGTACCAACATTCTGATGAGTCAGGGGTTGCTGCAGGGCATAGAAGTGTTGTGGAATTTTCTATTTGCTTTACATTGCCTATATGTCATGTATAGTTAAGACCTGATGTGGAATATCTTTCGACTTGGACCCCAGAGTGAGTTTGCCTCAGCCGAACTTAAATTCAGGAAGTCAGTTTCTGTCTAAAATTCAAGACTTCACCATCTGGCACTGATATCTGGGAACGTTTATGTAAACCTTTAGCTCCTAAAGGCACACTCCTTTTAGCTGGTGATTATTCTGAGCTTGATCTTTGCTTGTCAGTGAGTGTAAAAGTTGGCCATTGTAATCGTTCTCTGTAATTGCATCCCAAAAAGGAAATAATTCTCTGATCTAAGTAAAGCCAGGAGTAAAGACCCACTACTCTGCAGGGAGAGGGGGCAGTCAGTGGTCCTGTGACAGTAAACACTAGGGTGGGTTGGAAATCTGAGGCCACTGAGGCCCTATCAAGTAGTGACAGGCGGAGGTCATCCCCAGGAAAAGCAGAAGTGAGGGATCAGGGAGACTTGGAGTCTACCCACAGTAACCACAGAAAGCAAGGGAAAGATCACCTGCATTGCATTTGGAAGATCTCATTATTCAGCTTTCTCTTTTATCAAGTAGTGACTGCATGAAAAGCCAGTGTAGAATATGTGGGTGTTGGGAAAAGAAAAATGAACAAACACATTTCCCGTCTCTGTCTCTTTCTGGGCAATAGCAGGCAAAATAAACCTGGAAATCCTAGTTCTCTTCTCCAGTTATCTCAGCAATTTGGGATCCTACAAATTAAAAATCATTGCTCACTCAAGGTTCCTTTCTGTGTCTATGTAGGCTGGAATGGTCTAATCCAAATCCCGTGCCTTTCCTTGTATCAGTTCCCCTCTTCTCCACTCTCACATGCACAAATCCCACCCTAAATTGTCCTGTATTGAAAGTTTTGCCTTTTTATGCTTTATCCTATCCAAACACATTTAGCTTTTTATTCCTGAAATGTAGTAAAGCTTTAGTCAGGAAATAGTGCTACTTATTATTGCAGGAAATTTTTTAATATAATAAATCAAAACAACATGTCCTTTGTTTTTCCCTCTGTATTAGTCTGTTCTCATGCTGCTATGAAGAAATACCTGAGGCTGGGTAATTTACAAAGGAAAGAGGTTTAATTGACTCAGTTTTGCAGGGCTGAGGAGGCCTCAGGAAACTTACAATCATGGCAGAAGGGGAAGCAAACATGTCCTTCTTCACATGGCAATAGCAAGGAGAAGTGCCAAGCAAAAGGGCAAAAAAACCCTTATGAAACCATCACATCTCATGAGAACTCACTCACTATCAGGAGAACAGCATGAGGGTAACTGCCCCCGTGATTCAATTACCTCCCACCAGGTCCCTTTGATTCAAGATGAGATTTGGGCGGGGACACAGCCAAACCATATCACCCTTTCTTATCATCTGCCTTCACTCTGCCTTTATCTCATCTCATCTTCTTCTACCTTCATCTCTGTCTTTTCCTCTTTTTCCCTCATCCTTTTTGTCATTTCTCATTTCCCTGTCCACCTTTCCCTCTTTCTTTTTGCTTCCTCAATTACCTTCCATGAGCATTAGGCATAAATGCATTTTTGAAAAATTGTGACCCTGGAAGCGGCACTTGAGTAAGTGTGCGGCAATGGGATTATGCCTGATTTGTACTGGCTCCAGAAATGAATCTTCAAATAATGTCTTAGTATTAACCTTGCTGTCCAGATTTAAAGGTCATATTCTTGCAACAAGAAAACGCCTTCTGGTTCAGGCCCTAAAACTTAATAAGGGAATGATAAGTCTCTGTCAGACCACTCTCCAATTTAAGAATTAGCATTTAAAGGAGTCTGGAAGTTTGCAGAAGTTGGGGCATGGGAACAGAAAAGCAAGTTAGCAAAGGAAGAGCGACAGAGAAGAAAAGGGGGAGGGAGAGATGTAAAAGAGCTAATGGGAAGTTTGGCAGGAAGTTGAGACTTCTCACAGATCTTCCTCGTTAATGCTCTGTCTGGCTGGTTCACAGGGACAGCCCGTCAGCCTGTTGCTCCAGGAGGCTAGGAAGGGAGGGCATTCTAAGTGCTGAGAGCCGGATCAGGAACAGACAGCCTCATAGTCTCAGGAGTCGTCTGCTGTGACCTGGCAATCAGCAATGCAGAGACGGGAGAATGTGATTGATGGCCAAATGGCTGCTCTACTACAAAATGTCAAAGAAGGGGCCATCTTTGATATGCACCCAAATCAGGTCTTTATAAGAATTCTAAGAGTTCCAAGGAGTCCTCAGAATGGCAATATATGTTTAGGATGGTTGGCATTGTTAATCCTTTGATCTCATGACCATGCACAAGTACCAGTGGATCAATGCAGCTGTCACTGAACTTGCATGTAAATTCTGTGTTTCCACACTGCCTGTGGTCTGCCCTCCTGGCTCCGGGCTCTGCCCTGCCTTGATGAGAATGATGCCCCCAAAGTTTTGCCCACAGAGTGTATTTCTTCCTTTAGTTTCCAGATGAGGGCCATGGAGTCAGACTACGAGAACTGGAAAACACCTTCAAGGCTGTCTCATCCAGGGATATTCAAATATTTGTTTTTAAAAATTCGTTCTTATTATTCATTTTTAATTGAAAAGTTAAAATGTATATATTTGTGGTGCACCACATGATGCTTTGAAATATGTAGACATTGTGATGGTTGAATTGAGGTAATTGACACATGCAGTTTTTGAGTAGAGAGCTCAGAGTCACGTCTGCCCGGCTCCCATCAATTAGCCCCAAGGCGGCCTCTGAGACACAGTCACAAAAAACAGGGCTCCTGTGAACACAGAAAACTATTGATCTTACCTCCCCCATCCCCCTTATTTTCACAGGAGGAAACTGAGGACCAGAGAGAGGGCGTGATCCACCTAGATCTCTGAGACTTCGAATGTTTCATGTCCAGCCCTTCTTTGGGTCTTGGCACAAATAACACTGTTCATAGAACCTTATGTTTATATTTCAGAGAACTAACCATACTGTAATTGATGAATCATGTTTTTTTTGCATATTATGTGTGTATGCATATTTTTCCTACTGGGTATAGCTCCAAAGGAACTGGGATTCTACTGGATCCCCCATACCTCATACTGGGCTACACCCAGAGTAGCTGATAATACATTAATGTTGACTAAGAAAGAATTCCAGGTTCCTGACTTTAGCCTCACACATTTGCTTTCAGTATGCCTTGGTGAAGAGTCCAGCCTAATTCCCGTCCCCAGAAGGAATCAAATTGTGGCATGATTATAGAGCTGATGTCTCTTCTTCCACCATAACTTCTGGAGAAGCATGCAGTATATTTCTGTGATGAGCCAAAAATTTGCTTCAAATAATATTGATAGATTTTTGCATTTGTTACACTGGGATGGACGGCTGTGATTGAGTGTGCAGGAATGCAGCATAGCAAGCTATATCCATCACGCTGTTGGTTTGAAATGACAACCCAAATATCTACCATTTAGCAAGAGTTCTTAGTATGTCAGGCACTCTATACACAGTTAGCCTATCAAGGAGATTTTATAATCCCCATTTTACAGATGTAGGAACTGAAGTTTGGAAAGCTGAAGTAACTCACATCGTTAGTGGGCTGCAGGGCTTACCTGCCAGTCTCCAGACCCCTGGGACCTGAGCTCTGTGCTGAACCGAGGAAATTAATGAGGCTAGGTTTATTTAGCCTAAAGAAGATATGACTGGAAGCTGAAAAAAAGCTAAATAAATACTGTCTAAGTATTAGAAGGATTATTGTGGGAGGGGGTATCTGTCATTGAGGTTAGAAAAGAACATGGTCCATGCCTTGTAGGCATCTGAGTGGGACCCAGCAAGAGGTACCCAGCACACCACCATGGCTGTGTAAAGGGCCAGGGTCTCTGCTGCCCTGAGGCCGAGCCTCAGGCCGGCCGATGAATGGTGGGGTGAGAGAGAGGAAGGAAGCAGGAAGAATTACAGACTCCTCATGCCATGCTGTGTTCAACTTGGCACATGGCTTTTTTTCCTGGGCTCCAAATTCAGTCCTCTCTGCCAAAATGTTATGTCTTTTGCATAAGTCCATAGAAGAGCTTAAAAGGTTTAAGCTAAAGGGATACTACCTGTCCTCGTCGCCCCCATCCCTGTCCCCTTGGGACGGTCAGACCCAGTAGGTTGGGCGGGCCTTGGGCTGAGCCGCAGACAGTAAAGCATATCGTTCCTCTTCCGGCCATGTGGTGGTGCTGTTCTTTTAGTTATCTTGGCCGCGCTAGTCCAATATTTATTTTCAGTGAGTAATTTGTTTATCAGGAGGTTATTTTAATGTAATTTTGGCCATATTTGCTATTCCATACTATCTGTGCTTCCCAGCGTTAGCAGCTTGCGTGTCTTGAAGGAAATTAGCTGAAGATGGTCTCAGAGGCATTTGCTAAGCCATTATTTAAGGGAGTTGGGAGGAGGCAGGGTGAGCAGAGCCAGGGGTGGGAACAGCCGATGGAATTTGTTGCATTTTCAGTGATGTTAGCATGATGGATCGGGACTTACGGAGGGCAGGAGCACCCGGAGCTGCTTTTTCAGAGCTGCCTCTGGTGAATCCTAGAACATCTTGTAGTTACGTCTCCCCATTTCCCCTCTCGCTCTTTGATAACCTGTTATCTTCCTTGCCTGGTCAGGAAAACACCATGTAAGGACAATGCCCTCCTGCCTCCCCGCCCTGCATGTAGCCCTCATGCCGTGTCATAGTATATTTTGTGAACCTTTTACTGCCAGCCCTCAGCGAAGTGGGAAGGAGGGTAGGGAGTAGGGAGAGAATGAGTGTTTATTAGAGTACCTGCACTGAATAATGACTATCAATAATTACGGAGCACAGCACTTGCTAGGCACTTTACACATGGCATCTCATTCTCACTAGAGCCTGTAATATTATGATCCCCATTTTACATGCAAGGAAGGTGTAATCAGGAGAGGTTAGTGACTTGCCCAAGATCCCACACATGGTAAACGAAGAGCTAAAATTTGAACTCAGTTGTGACCATTTCCAAAGGAGAAAAGCTTCATATTTCAAAGATTATTCCCACCTTCCACATGGAGTCAGGAAACTGGACTCTGGGTTCAATGCAGCCATTGATTGGCTCTGTGACTTTAAACTAGTTCTTTGCTAGTTTAAATCTTACCAATTATCAAACTGAAATCAAACACTTGACTTCAGTTTGGTTTTTCAAACATGGGAGGGCTAGCCCAGGCGAGGAGATTAGAAATTCTTTAGTAGCAAAACCTTTTTTTTTTTTTTCTTGAACATAAAATCTTTTGAGGGAAATTGCATGCATAAAGCAAACAATGGGGAGTAAGGGGAGACCCCAATTAATGACAGCATGACTTGTCCTTTGCCCCTCCCTTTCCTTGCCTCTTGATAGGCATTGAGAAACACCCAAAGAAGTTCCTGAGGGGCCAGAAGAAATCAAGTTTGAAAACCTCTGAAGTAAATATACTCAAGGGACTCTTTCAGAGCCCAGTCTGTTGTTTGAGATTACAACTTAAAAAATGGGCTGACACTTTCCTTGGGAGGTTTGAAAATGTGTTAAATCTTACTATGCAGTGGCAAGAAGGAAGAACTAGTGAAGTTTGACCTGGAGGAAGATCCAAAATATTGTTCTCATCCTCCAGCCCTAGTCAAGTAAATTCTGAGTCTCTTGGGACTAACAGACCTAATGAAACAATTGAACTGAACCTGACCCAGTGAGGAGGGTCAGCTT
Source organism: Homo sapiens (assembly GCF_000001405.40). Lineage (NCBI taxonomy): Eukaryota > Metazoa > Chordata > Mammalia > Primates > Hominidae > Homo > Homo sapiens. The sequence continues at coordinate 86,233,858 of NC_000015.10, forward strand.
CCAGTTGGGATTTTACTGGCAGGCAGGATGGGCAGTATAATTCCACCTTCCCAAGGTGGCCAGGGTGTTCCCAGGCACCCATTCTGGGTCCAACACAGCTGTGGATGGTGGTGTTGAGTTTTTCTTGTTTGAGACAAAACTCTTGGTCACATAAGATATTGTTGGGTTGTGATTGCCACTAATCCTAGTTCTTACACTCATGCAGGATGCTGTCTTTTATCAGGAGATCCTGTCAAGACTTAGTTCTATCTCAAGGGCTATTCCTCTGTCCTGTGTATCTGCTTGTAGGTTTCAGCCATGTTGTTTCTTTGACCATAGTATAAAAGTGCTCAAGGTGGCTTGGTGGCATGTGTGCAGAATGGTGTATGTTCCCTGTAAGCTCAGAACTCTTACTCCGAAAGAGTAAGTCACAAGGCCGAGAGCGGTGGCTCATGCCTCTAATCCCAGCACTTTGGGAGGCCAAGGTGGGCAGATCACAAGGTCAAGAGTTCCAGACCAGCCTGACCAATATGGTGAAATCCCGTCTCTACTAAAAATACAAAAATTAGCTGTGCGTGATGGCATGCACTTGTAGTCCCAGCTATTTGGGAGGCTGAGGCAGAAGAATTGCTTGAACTCTGGAGGCGGAGGTTGCAGTGAGCGAAGATCACACCACTGCACTCCAGCCTGGGCGACAGAGTGAGACTCTATCTCAAAAAAAAAAAAAAAAAAAAAAAGAGTAAGTCACAGTGGAGAATAGCACTTGCTCAGTGGTCACTGTGCAGGCTCTGGAAAGACTGTGTAGAGTTGAACTGTGGCCACTGTGGCATGTTTCTTAATGACTCTGTGCTACACTTCCCTCATCTGTAAAGCAGGGAAAACAGTACACTCCAAAGATAATTGGTAAGATTTAAACAAGGTGATGTTTAAAAGAGTGGGAGTACAGTACTGGATCTTGGTACATCTCAATAAAGATGAACTCTTGTTTTATTGTCATCACCATTTCAAAAGTCCTGGAGGTTTCAGGAAGTGATGATATAAGGGCATAAAGCCTGATGAAATGTAAATTTGTCTCCCAAGATCTTCCCCGAGGGTTGAATGATATCTGGTTGTTTTTAGAGTCTGTCTTTTTTTCAAGAAGCTTTTTCTGTAAAAGCGCCAGATGATAGTAAATATTTTACGGTTTGTGGATCAGACAGTTCTGTCACAGCTACTTAACTCTTCCCTTATAGGACAAAAACAGCAACAGACAACATATAAAGAAGTGAAAAACTTCATGAAAACGGGCTGTGGGCAATTTGCTGACCCCCTACTTTAGACTATGTGAGCCTCGGATCTGGGGACTCTGTTTTATTCTTATTTCTTAAGCTATTCTTCTTATTCTTATTTCTTATTCATTCTTCCTTATTTCTTAAGCTATTGACTCTAATGTGTTTTATAGAGTGGACACTCAGAGTAAGTTATCTAAATGAACAAAGGAATCAGTGAATAAGTGAATGCGTGCAGATTGAACCCTGCTCAATCAATCCGCATGCACTTGTTTTGTTTTACTCTAGGGAATCAAAGGTTAATATCCAAGGTTGATGAGTTCTAAATGTCTTAAATTTTAGAACTTGTATCATCCCGGCATAATTGATGACTGGCTATGGATTGACAAAGATAAATTATCACAAAGATTTAAGGAGATAGAGAAAAATATAAACATTTCATGACTCAGAAAGTACATCATGGCTTCCTCATCACTTTCAGGATTGGCTGTACAATTATTTATTTACATCAAGATGTACCTAAGGTGTTTCCTAGCACCTTCTAATAACAGCAGTTTACAAAGCAGCTTTTCATATATACAATCTCATTTAATCTTCACCATGGTCCTGTCAGACGGGTAAATATTTAATTATTCTATAACAGTAGTTCTCAACATGAGTGACTTTGCCCCAGAGGGAGCAATTAGCAAGGTCTGGAGACATTTGTGGTTGTCACATCTGTGGTGGGAGAGGGTGTGCTGCTGGCATCAACTGAGTAAAGGCCAGATTGCTGCTGAACATCCTACAAATGCACAGGATGGCCCCACACAATGAGTAATATCAGCCCAAGATGTCAGTAGTGTGAGGATGAGAAAAATAGTGTTCTATACAGAGGACACTGAGGCCGAAAGAGATTGACTGACTTGCCCGAGATTGTGTAATATGCACTTGGCATATTGGGACTAACCTCTACTCCTTCCTTTCACTACTGCAGGTTTTAAACTTTTTTTTGAAAGAAATGAATGTTTATTTTTATTTTCAAATGAAATCCTTTGCAGAGCCACTGTATATAAACAGATGACAGTGTAGCTGCTCTGGGGACAATGGAAGTTAGAGACGCTGCTCAGCCTTTTTCTTAGCCCCTTCCACCAGTCCCAGGGGCACACAGTATGGCAACCACTGCCCACAGACCGTGAGGCACACAGAGCACTAGACATCTCTTGGCACCCCAGACTTCCAGATGTCCCTGGAAACTACTACTTTTTTTTTTTTTTTTTTTCCAGTAGGGGATGAAGCATCCAAATTCTGCTTCAATAAAATGCATTGCACAGAAGAAGAGAGAATGGAAGCATTGGGGTCACATATGAGGCTATTGATTGCTGGTGCAGCCCAGGTAATAGGAGAGGATGGACATATCGAGAGTGATAGGAGTTGAGTTAAAAGGAGAATGCACACGGCTCAAGGTTCTGTGATTGCATAGTGTTACAGCTCTGAGGACTGGAGGAACACCAGGATCCTTAGTCTCGGGCCGAATTGGATAAAACGACATGAACACACATGGAGTAGTTTTAAGGAGTGGAGAGTTTAATAGTAAAGAAAGAAGGAAGAAGCCTCCCCATACAGAGACAGAGGGAGGGGGGCTCCAAAGCCGAGAGAGGAAACCAGAGTGCGGCAGAAATCAGCTGGAGGCTGGAGGAGGGGGTATCTGATTTGCATAGGGCTCAGGGGATTGGTTTGACCAGGCGTGTCATTCACATAGCCCGGGGAAAAAACTGACCCTCCCACCCTAGCCTTTTAATATGCAAATACAGGGTACCCTGATGTTCCACACACACGGGGATATGTGGGCGGGGGGGGGCGGGGGGGGGCGGGGGGGCGCCAAGTTGCCAGGCACATGTTGGGGCAAGGGCAAGAAGATGTGGGTGGGCCCAGTTTCTAATGGTGGACTCAGTTTTTAATGGCCCACATTTGCATATCAAAGCTGGCCAGCCCAGCTCTAAAAGCCGGGCCTTTCCTGCTAGACAAGAAACGTTCTGGAGCTACTTTAAAAGAAACAAAAACTTCCCAAGGACCCTCTTTCCTCTGTATCTGCCTAAAATAATTTCTTAATAACTCCTATAACAATAGTGACACACTATTGGCTGACATAAGGCTGAAGGGTGGCAGGCTCAGGGGTGCAGAAGCATTTGCTATTTGCCTCTTCCTCATACACTCAGGGCCTAGAGGCACAATGCAGTGTGAACCGATTCATGAGCGATGCTTGCAACGCAGGGCAGAATTGCTTTCCTGCTGTCTATGTTGGTTGTCTGTACTCTGGCCAGAAGCAGGCAGCATCACTGGTGGACAGACGGGTGCCTTAAATATCAAGTTGGGGAGAAAGGAAGGTGAGGGAAGGTCTCTGATTTTCTTCTTCTTGATGTAAATCCTGGCTTTCTTCTTTAAGTGTCATCCTCTGATGAGTTGACAGTGGACACAGCAAAGTCAAACCAGGTGGAAGATTTTCTAGACCTGGAAGGGATAATGGCTTGTCTTGGGGTTTAGCAAGTACTTCCTTCCCCACCCACAGTCTAGACTCAAAATAAAAATTTGGATGGATAAAAAAACTCCTATACAAATTTCTAGGCCTATTTCTAAGACAATTATTCTGAAGGGTCTTCTTGCAGAGATGCAAAAACAACAGAAAGGCGAGTGAGAAATTCTCAGCCTGACAGATTCCCCCGCTTTTGCACAACCTGTTGGGATGAGTCTCAAAATGGTGGGGGGTCACACATCCTGATCCCTGCTCACCTTTCCCGTCATCTGCTACTACTGTCCCCTTGCTTTCTTCACCTGGCTTTAGCTCCTGGACTTTTCATTATTTGTACTTACCAAGTTTTTGCTTTATCCACTTGCTGTGTGCCCTTGAGGTTTGAAGAATTTCCTATCCCCAGATCTCTGCATCCTGGTTCCTTCTTGTCGCTCATGCCTCAGCTCCAATGCCCCCTCCTCAAGGGTCTTCCCTGATCATCCAACCTAAAGCAGCCACCCTACCTCATCACTCTAGTGCCACTGTTTTGTTTTCTCTGTATCACTTGTCTCTATGTGAAATTGCCTTGTTTAGTTTTCTTTGTGTGTGCCTATTTGGTATCTGCCTCCCCCTGCCACTCCTGTGGGACTGCAAACCCCATAAGAGGTGAGGCTTTCTCTATTTCATTTTCTGCTGCATCTCTGTTGTCAATAATAGTGCCTGGAACAACTGGTATATCGTAGTTGCTAAATAAATGTTTGCTGAATGGATTAAGGGTGGTACCTTGGGTTTTGGGTGTGTGAACATGGTTTTAGTTTATAATTTACTCTCTGCCTAGCCATAGGGAGAATCTGGCTTTCCGGACAAAGGCCTGTATGTTTATTTGCATCTAAGAAGCAAACCTCCCAAGAGTCTACCATGTTAGAGAATTTTCAAACTAGCAATATTGAAAAATCAACCATATTTTCTCAAATCTAAGTCTATCATCAACTGTGAGGTGTATGCCATTTTTTATGTGCCACTGAGTGAGAAAATGCTGTCAGTTACAATGAAAACATCACCCTTGGTAAGAAGCACCTTAATTTCAGAAATGCTAAAATGTGGATAAACATATGCCTGAGGATTGATAAAGTATGTGAGATAGACTCCTCATATGGAATGTAGAATGTTGACTCAGAAGAGTTTCGAGTCTTGTGGCGCCTTCTATGTTTATTTTTCAAATTTATTTTTTATTTTTATTTTTTTGTAGAGATGGGGGTCTCACTCTGTTGTCCAGGCTGGTCTTGAACTCCTGGCTCAAGCAATGCTTCTGCCTTGGCCTCCCAAAGTGCTGGAATTACAGGCATGCCCCTTTCTCTTCATAGGTGCAGCATTGCAACCTAAGGTCCTTCATTAGACATTGTATGTGCTGAGGGTGGGGGAAGAGCAGAGATGTGTGAGGAAGAGAAAGGTGTGGATTCTGAGGCTTTACTGAAAGTAGAGAAATTCCTGTGGTTTGGGACTAGTTCTGTGGCAAGTTATTAGAAGGAGTTGAGGATTTATAAAAAGATAGATTCATCTAGATTTAAAACAGTGGTCTGAAGTGTAGTCTCTTACCTGTCCCGGTTTCTGGAGCTTCGGAAAAGCATCTTTAATTTTATAAAGGCAGTCAATTGAGAAAACAAGATTTGCTTGAAACCAAAATTTACTTTATAGCCAAGTTTATTGAAATGTATCTATTTTACAAAGAGAAAAAAAGTACCCGAAAGCTAATTCAAAACCATCATTCTTATTTGAGAAATGATAATCAAGTATAATTTCCATTATGGATGGCATTAGGTTTCCTTATGCTTTTGTACATATCCTTATGCTTTTGGCTGTTCTCCTTTGCACCAGCCACTCCTGCAGCTGCAGGGCAGGAGGAGGTGGCAGTTGATTCCACCTCTCTTCAATGGTGCCGCACTCACACCTGGGCCTGACATTGCTGGGCCGGCCTCACTGTGTCATTGGCTGGATGTAAAGAAGTCCCCAAAACATCTTCTCCAGGGACTCAAAGAACCATAGGCTATTTATTTGGGTCTTTAAACCTTTTCAAGTTTCCTACGAAAAACCAACTCTTACCACAATTTAGGGCCCTGAGAGGGAACAGAGAAGTTGGAGGAGGGGGATTGGCTAAAAGCCACTCTTCAAGCACCGCAGGCTGTATCTCCATTAGCCTTTCAGAAATCTTCCTCAAGAAGCTGGATTAGTGGTAAGAACTAAAAGTCTTTACATAGGTGCAAAGAATGTGAACTATGCTGACAGCCTTGTGAGATGATGAATATGTTTATTAGCCCGATTTGTTCATTCCCCAAGGTATATATATAGGCACGGGAACCTCACATCGACCTCCATAGATATATACAATCATTGCTTTATCAATTAAAAATGAAAATAAAACTAAAAGGGAGCTTTGAGGCTACCATGGGATATTAACCTTTGGAGTCAGATGAGGGGATTTCATTTGAATCCTAGATATGCCACTTATAAGCTCTGCAGACTTAAATAAGTTGTTTAACTTCTCTTAGCCTCTGTCTTCATTTGTAAAAGAGGGAAAGTAATACTTATCTTTAAACATTTTCATAAGACAAATGAGATGATCCATATAAGATGATTAGCCTAGTGCAGAGCACATAGGAAATATTTAGTAAATAAATATTCACGTTGTAATGTGTTCTGATGGCAGACAGCTTATTTTCATGTAATATGATTTAGAATACTTAGTAGAGACTACTTTATCCAGAAACATCTTCTAAATAGACTCCCTGAAAAGACCCCTAAGATAATCTGTTGCAAAGTCAGTGGTATCGTATACTGTAGTTAGGGACACAACTACCTTTATTCTTACTAATGTCTCAGAAATGGGAATTCTCAGGTGGAAAATTGCAGGGTTTGAGAAGAGTGGTTTGAAGCAAGGGTTTCAATGTGGAGTCCTATTTGGGATCAGGCAAGTTTTGCAATATAATTGCTCAAGGTTGGGAGGAAGGGATTTGGAAGGAAACTTTGGAGAGTAAGTAAGAGTTCAATCCCCCCAGTTGCATGGTCTTCTGTTCTGAGAAGGGGGTTTCTATCCTGAAAAAGACGAGTTGAATTGTCAGTAGTTCAGATGAATGGATTTTCAGGACGGCTCTGAAACAGTAGAGCTATTTAATCTTTCTGGGCAACAATTGTTTGGGGTAGAATATGTCACGGTACTCTGTATAGCTGGAGGTAATTTCTGTTCTCAGGAATGATAGAGGGCCTCAAGTCCTTGTATTTATTCTTACTCATATATGTCTTATCAAATGTAAAGGTGGCATATTAAACATGTAACTGCTATCAGTCACATGGATCTTAGAAGATTAACTAATCTCCTAAAAAGGCTTTAGAGTAATGAGACTCAATACGTGTACATTTTGCCAGAGAGGGAAATTTTCAGGTTTATATCATGGACATGGCCTTTTATGGCACCTGGTATAAAATGGGGTGTGAACTTCAGCATGCGTAAAGAGGAGTGTTTCATTGTATGTATGGGAGTGTTTCAGAGAGGCAGCAATGTAGGACTGGTGGCCATTTTGGGGTGAGAAGTCAACTACATGCCATGGGGATTGAAGAAAATGGTTATAAATTTTACTTATTTTGAAATTTTTCCTTTGGCTCTGCTCATTGGTGAAGGGTATGTGAAATTTGGATGCCATCTTTGTAGGGAAAGGAATGATCATTTATTGAGCACATACTTTATGTCAGGTGCTGAGTTATGTTTTCAGTTCTTATAATGGACTTGTAAGAATGTTTCAATTATTTTTATCTTTTTTATATTGCTTTAATATTTACAGATGATGGAAATTCAGTTCAGAACGCTAAGTGTCCTTCTTAGTCCATTTTGTGTTTCTATTACAAAATCCCTGAGACTAGGTAACTGATAAAGAATTTTTTTTTCTCACAGTTCTGGAGGCTGGGAAGTCCAAGATCAAGGGTGTGGCATCTGGTGAGGGCCTTCTTGCTGCATACTCACATAGCAGAAGGTGAAAGGGCAAGCTAGCAGGACACTGTGTGAAGCCTCTTTTAAAAGGTCCTTAATCTCATTCACAAGAGAAGAGCCTTCCTGGCCTAATCATGTCTTCAAGGCCCCACCTCTTAATACTATCACATTGACAACACCTGAACTTTGGAGGGGACATGTTCAAACTGTAACATTGAGTAACTTAACCAAGGTTACACAGCTAGTAAACACTAGAGCCAAAAGTAAAATGAGTAACTAGGGGCCCCTGAAGCTTCTGTTCTTCTTGTTGTTATGATTTGGCTGTGTCTCTACTGAAATCTCATCTTGAATTGTAGCTCTCACAGTTCCCACGTGTCATGGGAGGGACCCAGTGGGAGGTAGTTGAATCATGAGAGTGGGTCTTTCCCATGCTGTTCTTATGATAGTTAATAAGTCTCATGAGATCTGATGGTTTTATAAAGGAGAATTCCCCTGCACAAGCTCTCTCTTGCCTGCCACCATGTAAAATGTCCCTTGTTCTTCTGCCATGATTGTGAGGCCTCCCCAGCCTCACAATTCACAGTGGAACTGTGAATCAATTAAACCTCTTTCCTTTATAAATTACCCAGTCTCAGGTATGTCTTTATTAGCAGCATGAGAACAGACTAATACATTTGTCCGTAGCAATAGAGAGCCATTGGAATAAAAAAAAAATAGATGATGCTGATCATGATGATGATAGTTACCACAGGCAACAGATATTGTACCTATTATGTACCAGGCATCGAGCCATCTACTTTATATGTATTATCTCATTTAATTCTCTCAACAGTCTCACAAAGGAGAGATGATTACTATTGGTTTTATTTTGGATAAAGACTGAGTGATAGAGCTGTAAAGTAACATGCTCAAAGTCGCACAGCTAGAAAGTGGTGGAGCTTCTGGCTATATGCAAGGATTTCAGAAAGGCAGTGACAGAAAGTTGAAGGGTCTGCCCACAGATTAGGACATGCAAGGCAGGGAGGGGTACATGAGTTTAGAAGTCTACACTCATCTGCATGTCTCATTTCTGGAGCTGTGGCTGTTAAAGCTTCCAATACGTTACTTTGCTGCAGGCTCCTACATTTTCTCTGCTTAAGGTCATCACTGCTCCCAAAAAGGATAAGGCAGTCCCCAAATATGGGAAATAAAGAGCAGTGATAACAACTTCCTTTAGTTTTGCCAAGTAAGAGGAGCAGTGGGCTGCTTGCAGGTAAAATTATTCAGGACACCAACCACTTTTCCCCGCCAGCCTGTCATGTGGCCCCACATTGCCCAGGAGAAATTCAATTTTTTGAGTCTTGAAGGTTTCTAGGCTTTCCTGTTTAGACCACAAACATCTTTATAAAGATGGTTGGGATCTCCAGTGCCTTCACGAGCTAGGCAGGTAATTCACTTCTGAAGGAGCTGGGGTTAGACAAAAAAATGAGTTGATTACTATGTCAACCTGTGGACTGCTTGCCCTTCTCACTTGCCTTGACAACACTGTGTGGCTAATAGTCTGTAGGTTACCAGTTTGTAACATCAAAAGGATACATTTTTTTTTCCTCCTGATTGTCAAAGTTTGTTGTAGAACGCGTAAGGATTAAAACTACAGAAAACTCTAAATAAGCAAATAGAATCATCAGTTGATCCTCAACTCATTAAGTATTCTTGTTACCTTGGCATATTCCCTTCCAGTTTTTAAGTGTAAAAATCTGCATCAATGGGATCTGCACTAAAGAGGCACATGTGAACCTCAGTTAAGAAATACTTGGGGTTAAAATAAGGATATCACTAGGTCCCGTTTCAGACTGAGAATTAGCTACAAGTCAGGCCCTTGGAGGATAGAACCTGGAGAGATAAGCAGAAATAGTAGAATATAGAAGGGTGAATGGGAGGTGAGGACAGAGATAAATCTCCTGTTGTTCATGGATTTGCCAAAGGAAAACTGGCCAAAAAAATACCTTCAGCATGAGGCTGGCAGCAAGGGCCTGATGGAGCTAGGGGGTGCCAGGAAGCAGGGTCAATGCTTTTAGGGTGGGGTAGAGGAGAGGGTGAGGTGTTAATACGAAAGACCCTCAGAACTCTCTGTCCATTCCATCCCCATCCTCCAACCAGTTTAAAAGATACTAATGTAGGCCGGGCATGGTGGGTCACGCCTGTAATTCCAGCACTTGGGGAGGCCAAGGTGAGTGGATCACTTGAGGTCAGGAGTTCGAGCCCAGCCTGGCCAACATGGTGAAACCCCGTCTCTACTAAAAATACAAAAAAATTAGCAAAATTAGCCGGGTGTAGTGGCGTGCACCTGGAATCCCAGTTATGCGGGAGGCTGAGGCAGGAGAGTCACTTGAACTTGGGAGGCAGAGATTACAGTGAGCCGAGATCATGCCACTGCACTCCAGCCTGGGCAACAGGGTGAGACTCTGTCTTAAAATAAATAGATAAGTAGATAGATAGATAGATAGATAAATAAGTAAATAAATAAATAAATAAATAAATATATATATAAGTAAATAGACACTAATCTATTTAGAAACTTAAAAAAAATTAAGCAACATAAAAATTTTGTTTCAAGGAAAATCTTAGGAAAACGCTGTTTATGTAAACAGACTATAGCAGAGCTGGTCTCTTCCAAAGAGGGGGACTTGAAGCCCTCTCACATCTCTCAACTCTAAGTCCACCCAGAGCAGTATTCAAAAATGCACCTCATCTCTGCTCTGTTTGCCCTGGCCCTGCAAAGCAGCGCCTTCCTCTCAGATCTTCCAGAACTCCTCTAAGTTGCTGATCCCAGTGACCCTCATTTCATTCTTTGCTCTTCTCCACATTTGCTCTTTCTCAGTTTGATGAATCTCCTCTTGTCGCATTTTAGATACGTATTGACTTTTGCACAACTTCCCAAGCCATTCTCAGAGAAAGATTGACGGGTGTAGGGTCGCGGGGGAAGGAGGTTTAGCTATTTTAAATGTTAGTAAACATGAGAGTTTGCTGGGGATTAACAGGAAATCATGAATAAAATCATTGGGATTTGATAAGGGATTTTTCTCCCAGAAAATTAAAGATTTTTTTTCATTATCTTTCTCCCCCCACCAAAAAAGACATGGATGAAGGTCACTGGGATAACCCATTATCAATCTAATACTCTTAAAACAGAAAAAAGACAAAAGTCCTTAAGCTTATGCTGCCCACGGGGCCCCTGTGAACTGTTGTTCTGGCATCTTTTTAGCAGGTGATACTGTCCTTTAATACCTCCCACTTAATTCTCAATTTTCTTTTAAACATCAGATATTGAATAGGCTGCAAACTCCTTCAGGCAATAAATAACTCTCATGCTGTATGGCCAAGATCTGCCAGGAAGTGAAATATTTTTGATACAAAAGAACAATTCATTAAAGGAGGTAATGAAGGCAATTCAAACCCTCCACAAATGTATCACCAGGTGAATAAAGCTCGTCACTCTCTGTTTAGGGTCATGTTGTAAAGAGAAAAAAACAAACAAACAAACACCAACTGCACAAATGGGCCAAAAAATCAGTGGGGCTTAGTCAAGCCTGACAATTTAGAATTTGACAAACAAGCAGAAAAAAAGAGAGTTTTATTAATATTATGAAAAAAATCCCCTCTGGAATAAAGCATTACATTTCCATGTTATTGTTTGCACTCATATGCACTCACATGGTCTTAGGGAGAAATCTGACTTTGAGATGAAATTTTGCTTATCTGATTATACCTCATGGGCTCTCCCTCACACACACTCAGCCAGAAGCACATACTGTCTCATACGCCAGTGTGAATGGTTTCGATGATGGAGAGATGCGGTAGTGAGAGAACGGAGCTACAAAATTTGGGCATTCTGACTGAGAGTCAGCAGGTTAGAGCCCTGCAATGTACCTAGTCCCTAGGAGCCAAGAGGGCCAGGCATCTACTGGGTAGATCTGAACCGGTACATGCTTGTCCACCAACCCTGTAGCCCAAGGAGCTTAACCTGAAAAGTAGTGTATATTAACTGTTGAGAGAGGTATCTTGGACTGTTCTTCTTCCTCTGTTTTAAGTCCGTAAAATACGGTTTTATGGGCGGTCCCAAACAGGAATATTGAACTAACACAGAGAAGTCAAGGAGTTGAAAAGGTCCCTATTAGATATGAGAAAGCTCCATACTAAATCCCTGCTGGGTGGGCTTCCGAACTTTACCTGAACATTTTCAGAGCCCTGTTGCTCACTACCACGTAGAGTCTATCCTCTTGTTGAACATCCTTAACTGTGAGGAATTCCTTTCCTGAATTCAGCCTAGTGTATTTTAATTTCTTTCTTTCTTTCTTTGTTTTTTTTTCTTTTGAGCTAGGGTCTCACTCTGTTGCTCAGGACTATAGCTCACTGCAGCCTCGAACTCCTGGGCTCAAGTGATTCTCCTGCCTCAGTCTCCCTAGTAACTGGAGCCACAGGTGCAAGCCACCACATTTGGCTTATTTTTATTTTTTGTGGAGATGGGGTTTTACTATGTTACTCAGGCTTGTCTCCAAACTCCTGGCCTCAAGCCGTCCTCCTGCCTCAGGCCCCCACAGTGCTGGCATTACAGGTGTGAGCCACCACGCCCGGCCTGTGATTTCTTTCTAACTTGATCTTGGGGTCTCTTTCAAGAGTGGCTGTAAGCCACTGATAGGGGGTAAAGTTAGTTGGGGTGTGTGGAGGAGGCAGCACAGCAAAACCCGTGAAGTAACAGAAGTGTTTCTGTCGTTACAGAGCCAGGAGAATAAGCGGAGTTGCTGGGGAGCCTGGAGGTGGCAGGGAGCTCTAACAGTGTCTGGGGAGAGAGAGGTCTTGTTGTGGGACTGGGCCTTTTTTAAGGTTCATGGCGTTATCTGTCAGGCTTTCCTGCAGGGGTTATGGACTGGGCAGTTTAAAGAAAACGCACATGAAGAGCAGGTCCTATTCACATGACTCTGGTGTTGTCCATTGGGTTTTACTGTGGTCAGCAGATGTGGGAAATGTTGGGTTTTGGGTTAGTGGGATGAGGAACAAGCAGGCCATGTGGCAAACAACCACGTGGGAAGGGCAAGTTTTCTCTAGGTCAGAGGCAACAGGGTATGACTGGGTTTCAAGCAACTTAAGTCATGCCTAAAAAATGGATGTGGAGGTTACAACTATATGAAACAAATTTATGAGTCTTGATTATATATAAATTAGCTTCCATTCTCTTTAGAAAGGACAGCCAACATATCTCTTAGACATGGCAGCCTTACAGGTACTATATCTCATTCAGCATCTTCTCCTTCCCCACCTAACCTGATAGTCAGCTCAACCCAAATGACAACCTCCGGGTCCACTGAAGTTCAGATAGGAGGAATGGAAATCTGGTGGAAATCTCTCTCTGTGTCTGTCTCTCCTCCCACACTATTATTATTATGTTTCTTTTTTTTCTGAGAATAAGGTACAGACTTTCATATACTCTAATTATGAATTTCCTAAAAACAAAAGTATTCTCTTACATAACCCCAGTTTATCAAAATCTGAAAATAAACATTGATACAAAACTGTTAGTATAACTATTAGATCTACAGATCTTATTCAAATTTGACCAGATGCCCAATAATGCCTTTTATAGCAAAAGAAAAAATTGTTTGCTGGCCCAAGATTTAAACTATAATTACTTATTATGCTGACTTGTCATGTCTTTTTATTTCCCTTTAGCCTCATGTTTTGTTCTGCTTTGTTTTGCCTTTCATGACCTTGACATTTTCAAGGAGTGGAGTGTAGGTCAGGTATTTTGTAGCATGTCCTTCATTTTGGCTTTGCTGATTTTCTTCATGATCCAACTTGGGTTATGCATTCTTGGCAGGAACACTATAGAAGTGATGCCGATCTTTCTCAGTGTATCATATCGGGTGGCACGTGATGACTGTCCCATTACTGGGGATGTTAACTTTGATCACTTGGTTTAAGGTGACATCTGCCAGTTTTCATACTAAAATGTTATTATTCCCTTGATGATTAATAAGTATCTTGTGGGAAATACACTGGAACATTCTCAAAGAGGTGTGGCTGTGGAGAGCCTGTGACTGACCCTGCCTTTCCCTTTGTTTTCAGAGTCGAACGGCCGCAGAGCAGTGAACCGAGGCTACGTCACCAGCCTGCTCGGGCTGCACCAGGACTGGCACAGCCATGACACAGCCAACGCCTACGTGCAGATCCGACGGGGCTTGCTGCTCTGCCTCAGGCACATTGCTGCCCTCCGGTCCGGCAGGGAGGCCTTCCTGGCAGCACAGGGCATGGAGATCCTCTTCAGCACCACACAGGCAGGCAGCATGGGGATTCACTCTGCAGCTGGAGGCCAGCTGGGTGATTCCTGAAGGCTGTCATTTAGGAATCATCCCAGATAGAGCTGGGAACGCCTCAGTCTATTTCTTGTTGCCTGCTAAGGGCGGATGTTCTGGATTTAAGGCTTCATTCCAGGCCAGGCCCGGTGGTTCACTCCTGTAATCTCAGCACTTTGGGAGGCCGAGGCAGGTGATCACCTGAAGTCAGGAGTTTGAGATCAACCTGACCAACATGGTGAAACCCCGTGTTTATTAAAAATACAAAAATTAGCTGGGTGTGGTGTTGCACACCTATAGTCCCAGTTACTCAGGAGGCTGAGACAGGAGAATTGCTTGAACTCAGGAGGCAGATGTTGCAGTGAGCCGAGATCGCACCACTGAACTCCAGCCTAGGTGACAGAGTGAGACCCTGTCTCAAAACAACAGCAACGGCAACAATAAAATCTTCATTCCATTGGTTCATTCATATATACTTAACATATATTTGTTGAATACACACTACCAGAGGTGCAGTGTATGGCATAGTGTTAAGTGTTGACTCTAGAACTAGAGTACTGGATTCAAATCCTAGCTCTAGGGCCTACAGCTGTGTAACTTTGAAGAAGTCACTCAACTTCTCTGGGCCTTGAGGTTCTTCAAAAAAAAGCAGAAATAACAAAACCTAGGTTGTTGTGTGGACTAAATAAGTTATTGTAGAAATGGCCCGTGCTTAGAAGAGTGCTTGCCATGACTGAACTGCGTTGTGAGGATGAGCCGTTATTGGAATAATTAGCAGTGGAATCTAGTGGTGGATATGACAAACGAGGCCCTTGATCCTATAGGGAAAACCTCCTAGCAGAAGAGTGAGACACTAAGTAAGCAAAGAATCCAATGAGGAAGATAATTTCATATCGCACTGTGAAATCAATGAAGTAAGGGCATAGGTCTACAGGGGCTGCCATAGGTAGAGGGAGCAGGTGTTCTTTTAGAGAGAGAGGTCAAGTCATCTCTGAGCAGATGACACCTGAGCTGAGACCTGAGTTGTTGGAGGAGCTGGTCATGCTGGTCAGGCCAAGTTGCAGAGGAAGAGCATCCCAGGGAAAGGGGATGGTGTCTTCAAGGGTTTCTACTTATCAGCACCCCACTGGAATATGCATTCTAGGGATTCCTGGATTTCAACCTAAATAAATTCCTTAATTTCACCTGATTAGGGCTAATTGAAATCCTATAGTTTGAGGCTACATATGCCCTCCTTATTGGTGATATAAGTGTTCCAGTATCCATCATCTGCTCACCCACCTTCTCCTGGGGCCAAGGCAGCCATGTTGCACACACATTATGTTCCTATTATCTCTGGATTAGGCCACCTCTGGACTCCCTTTATCAGCCTTCTTGCTCTTCTCTGGACACCCTCCAGTTTTTCTCTATCTGAGTACATCTGAGGTAATGAAGCCACCAATGAGAGTGTTGTTTTTCCAACCGTGGTATCTGGAGACATTTCTCATTAAAAAATGGTCTTTTCCCCTGCTAAACAATAACAAAATACAGTGCTGCAAACCAATATCTAACTCCCTATCTGCTATCACCTCTGGGTTTCTTTCCATCATTACAGCTTTCAAAGCTTCTCAGTCATGAAATAGCTATATTTTACCTTCTATTTCTCGACATGAAGCAGGGCTTTGAATTTTTCCAAGCTTCCTCATGCTTTCTAAGCTTGTGGTTGCCCAAGTCTCTAATCCCTCCCAGTCCTTGTGCAATGCCCTCCTGCATTGCCGATGTTTAACAGCCCCCCACTCTGGTCCAGTGCTTTACCGTGTTCCTCTGCCCTCCATGTTATTGGCTATTTCTCTGTTCTGTGCTAAAAAACCAACCAAACAATAAACAAAACAAACAAGAAAAACAAGACCAATAAAGGAAGAAGACAGTAGTCACAGAGGGAAATGTCTACGATAGAAAGGTGGTGGAGAAAACACCAAATGAAGCCCAGCATGAGGTGCTATGAATCTGTGCACAGGTTCTTCAAAACAGTTCCTTATCAGGTCAGTGAAGACTTCAGTTGCTCAATTAAGCACATTAGCAAGAAGCTTCCAGCCTTGAACTACTGTTGGAATGGAAGCAGAATGTGAGTGCACACAGAGTGTGCACTTTATAGTGAGGTTTCTCTAGCTCATGTTATAATCTCTGCAAGTATGATATGGAAAAGCAGTTCAGGAGGGGCCTATGGGATAGTGCTGAGTAAATAGGCCATGACACATCTGTCACCTGGAAGAGTGTATAGAATGTATGGGTGTCAACCTCAAGAGGTTGAATTCCTCACCACCACCACTCGCCCTTGCTTTTAGTCTTTTAAATAGTGTGCTCTTGGCCGGGAGTGGTGGCTCATGCCTGTAATCCCAGCACTTTGGGTGGCTGAGGCAGGCGGATCACCTGAGGTCAGGAGTTCAAGACTAGCCTGGCCAACATGGCAAAACCCCATCTCTACTAAAAATACAAAAAATTAGCCGGGCGTGGTAGCATGTGTCCGTAATCCCAGCTACTCAGGAGGCTGAGACAGAAGAATTGCTTGAACCCAGGAAGTGGAGGTTGCGATGAGTTGAGATCACACCATTGCACTCCAGTCTGGGCAACAGAGTAAGACTCTGTCTCAAAAAAAAAAAAAAAAAAAAAAAAAAAAAAAAAAAAAAAAAAAAAAAAGGTGTGCTCTTCCAGAGAAAATGTTATCAAGTTTATGTGCAAAGTCAGATGTTTGACATTCTCCTGGTTTTTGGAAAATGATCATTGCAGGTGAAAGATAGGCTGTCCTGGCTTAGAAACCAAATGGCTTGTTACTCTTCCCCCCGGCAGTCATAACCAGTGTTGAGTAGCCTCCCAGACCTCAGGTGAGTGCTGTGAGCACAGATGCCCTTGCAGGTGTGCTGGAGTTACAGCTGCCCATCACCCCTCCTCTCCCTTCTGCTAGAGAAGGCATGGGAGTCACTGGATGGCCAACTTAGGGGCCTTGGATTTGGTGATGTTATTTCAGTTGCCATTTGCAAATTATGCTGCTGTTGCTGCTGCTGCTGCTATTGCTACTGCCAGTGATAGTGATGACAATGTTAATGAAGCAGCAGCAGCAGAGGGAGGAGGAGGAAGAGGAAGAGAAGAAGTAGGAGAAGGAGAAGACAGTTACTTTGAACTCTTACTATTAATACATCCCTTGGCTGTCTTAGCAATTTATGCAGACTCTCCAATATTGATAATTTCAAAAGCTTTTGAGGTAGGATCTATTATTATCTCCCTTTTTATAGATGAAGAAACTGAGGCACGTAACTGTTAAGTAATTTTCCCAAGTTCGCAAAGCTCATAAGTGTTGGAGCTAGGATTGGAATCTGGTAGTCTCACCTGAGAGCCCATGCTTTTGCCCACTGTACCAGCAGCTCCCCCAGTTGAGCATGCATCAGAGTCACCTGGAGGGGTCACTGAAGCAGAGCCTGTTGGACATCAATCTCAGAGTTTCTGACTCAGTAGGGCTCTGGTGGGGCCTGAGAATGTGCTTTCCTGACAACTTCCTAAATGACGCTGATACTACTGATTTAGGATCACACTTGGAAAACCAATGTCCTAAATTAATTTTATTGATGTTTGTGATGTGCTGACAAACCTACTGAGAATGAGACTGACTGTAAAGGAACTTTTTTTAAGTCCTTCCCACACCTTTGCCATCATAATATTCTTCTTTGCCTTTCTGCTGAGGCCACTGCTTGCATTGTTTCTCTCTTGGTGACCCTACCTCTCTGTTTCCTGAGTCTCACGTTTCTGCACAGATTCTGTAAACATCCCCTAAAAGTTCAAAGGCTGAGATCATAGTGCAGCAAGGGTGCTGTGTAATGTAGTATAATGGAATCTTATTGGAGCTTTGCATGAGGAAAGAGGAAGACGGATGACAATTTGAATGCAAGATTGAAAAAAAAAAAGAACTCCTACAAGGATGCCTGAAACATTTGGGGATAATTATCAATTTGGAGAAATAGGTAACTGCAGAAGGAACAAACCTATATAAGATAATCAGAGAAAAGAACCACTCTTTGGAGCTACAACAGTTTAAGGGGCCTGAAAGGTTGCTAAAATTGGTGGTTTTCAAACTTGAGCATGCATCAAAGTTACCTAGAGGAATTGTTAAAACACAGATTGCTAGATCCTACCCCAGAGTTTCTACTTCAGTTGTTCCGAGGTGAGATGCAAGATTCTGCATTTCTAACGAGTTCTCAGGTGATACTGATGCTACTGGTCTGGGTACTTCACTTTGAGAACCACTGGAATAAGAACTGATATGGCCTTTTAAAAGTCACAGTTGCCACCATTTGCTCAGAAAGCACAGTAGGCCAAGCCTTGATTCATCAGGCTCCTCTCTGGCCAACAAGACCAATGACCTCAGCCTTGTGGACCTGTGTAAGGAGGGACTGAATTCTAAAGAGAATATTACCAGGTTGGAATCAAGAACTGGATACCCTAAAGGTCAGATTGGTCTGAGATCATTTACTATTTATTCAGTAAATGTTTTCTGAGCTCCTTCTTTGTGAAAGATGTTGGGGCTGGGTTCTATAGGGGGTTCAAAGATGAAGGTGATAGAGGACTCATCATCTTCAGGAAACTTAGAATCCTATATGGGAAAATAGGATATGGATAATGCAGTGTAGCCAGCAGGTGGGGGTAATAGCAGACTTTGTGTAACCATGCAGAGGAGGCCCTACTTGGTCTTGCTGACCAGAGAAGCCTCCATGAAGGCACCCACATTTGAATGAGGCTAGGAGAGCGTTTTGAAAAGTCTAAGAGAAACACTTGGTTTGTGAACTGTTCAGAGAAGCACAGGAGGTGGCCACCAGGCACAGACAGAGAAGCTGTGGAGAGCGAGTGGGACAACTAGGACGTTTTGGAGGGTCAGGCAGAAGGAAAGATCTCAGTGACAATCCAGAAGATATCAAGCCATTTCCATTTAAGATATTTTTATATTGAAGCTACGCCACATCTGCCCTTGGGCTTAGAATTTCTCCTCTATGTTCAAAGAATCACCGCAAAGAGAAGGGAGAGAGGGGTTATGCCAGGCAGGAGTCGAAGAGCTGCTGTGTCACCTGAGACCTGAATAGTAAGAAAGAACCAGTGCCATGAGGGTCTGGAGACGAGGGTTCCAGGGAGAGAAAAAGAAAGTACATGCAAAGACCCTCAGGTGGGGGAGTAGAGTGGGAGGTGGGTGAGCTTGAGAAACACAGACATGGCAGAGCATTGTGAGTAAGGGTGGAGGCATGAGATTGAGTTGGAGTCATGGGCAGTGCCAGGGCATTTAGAGTTCCTTGAACTATGATAGGGACTTTGAATTTTACTTCCATCAACTTTTTTTTGTTTGTTTTGTTTTGAGATGGAGTCTCGCTCTGTCACCCAGGCTGGAGTGCAGTAGTGTGATCTTGGCTCACTGCAGCCTCCGCCTCCTGAGTTCAAGCGATTCTCCTGCCTCAGCCTCCCGAGTAGCTGGAATTACAGCCATGCACCACAATGCCTGGCTAATTTTTGTATTTTTAGTAGAGACGGGATTTCACCTTGTTGGCCAGGCTGGTCTCAAACTCTTGATGTCGTGATCCACCTGCCTCGGCCTCCCAAAGTGCTGGGATTACAGGCGTGAGGCACCATGCCTGGCCTCCATCAACTTGTAAGGAGGCACGAAGGAGAAGAGGACATGAATTAAAGGGATAGGGAGGGCCAGATCACATAGAACTTCCTAGGGCACAAAAATAAATTAGAATTTTATTTCTATCAAGTTTGAAGCAGGAGACTGACCCGATACAGTTTATGTGTTTCATTTTTTTATTTTTGAAAAATTTTAAATTAATTGTAGTAAAATACATGCAACCAAATTCACCATCTTAACTGTTTTTAAGTGTACAGTTTGGTAGGGTTAAGTACATTGTTGTATAACTGTCACTACTACCCATCCATCTCCAGAACCCTTTTCATCTGGAAAAATTGAAACTCTATACCCATTAAACTGATTTATGCTTTTAAAGGACCATTCTGGCTGCCATTTGGAAAAGAGATTATCAGAGGGCACAAGGGGAAGGAAGGAGAGTAAGGGGAGGAATTAGAGTGTTGATAGGAGTGTAGGCAGGAGATGTTCGTGGCTTTGGCTACATAGAAGCAGAGCTGGAATTTAAACCCAGGACTTTATACTCTTAGTCAAGGTCCTTTTCCACTAAAATGCCTTGCTTTGTTATCATGGGAATTATTACTAGGACTCTGCTCTGCGTAGCAGTGACTCCTAGTATTCTCTTGCAGACTCCTAGGAGACTTTATGAAACTAAGGATGCCTTCTCTCTTCCCACTGGCTAATACTAAATGCTTACTATTCGGCACTTGCCTACTTTAATGCATTTAATTCACACACAACATTAGGAGAGAGGTTGTGTTATTATCTCCACTTTGCAGATGAAGACACTGTGGCACAGAGAAGTGTATTAATTTGCCACGGTTATGAAGTTAGTAATCTTTAGTCCAGGATTTAAACTCATGTAGTCTGGCTCCAGGACCTGAGCAGTTTGCTCTTACTTTACCTTGCCTATGTATCATGCAAGTAGGGTATTTATTACGCCAAAGCGAATTCAAAGATGTTAACTGTGACGGAAGCATTGAATGTATTAATTGAATGCATTCTCATATTTCATCATCCCTTCCAAGTAGCAGATGTGTTATTGAGAGTGATGGGAAAAGGGAGCCTAAAATCTCACCTTTCCCTCCAATTCTGAGACATTGGTCCATAAGGATCCTATTTCCTGGAGTCTTGTCTTTTTTTGATGCAAAGCACAAGTACCAGCCCTGCACTTCTAGGAGCCTGAGAGCAAGTGCTTCCTGGGAACCTCCCTTTCCTCACCTTAGTCTTGGCTCTGCACAGCACCTTTCCATCAGCATGAGGGAAATGTTGACAAAGGAATTCAAGAATTTCTGTCACCTTGAAACCAATGATCTTTGCATTCATAAGTATTTCCCCTACAGTGCAGCAGACAGCAAATATATCATGATTCCTAAAGCCTTGGGTTTTATAGATTTTAATACTCCCTCCAGCCTTCAAATTCAGTTCGTGGTATGGCCCAATTTTTCAGAACATTTGAACTTGCCTTCATCCTTTCACTTGTTCCATTCCACCAACAAAAAAGACATGATTATCTTTTATTATCAAAGACCATCACAAACATACCTAGGTTCCAAAATGTTGGCTTTTTTGACTGAATTCCCTGGCTTGGGCTGGCTCTATCTCTACCAAGGTTGGAGCTTAGAATATTATATCTGATAAGCCATCTCTTTCACCTTCTTGCTTCCTCCTTGAGACTCTGTTTTATTTTTTTCCCATTGCTGATACTTTTCATGAAACACTTGAGACCATTTGACCAGACCAAAGGGTGAAATAGCTTCAACTGTTCATTAGCCTCCATAATGAATTAGCCAAAACTAATTCATTTTCCACCAAGAGTATTTCCTGCTGTGTATCCTGAGGCTGTTGATTCAGAACACCTGATGGGTATGACTGGCACACACTGAAGGAGAGAGAGCACTCTTGATTGCATTAAGACATTTCATTTTGAAAGCTGGCTTACTTAAGGCTGGGCGTGGTAGCTCATGCCTGTAATCCCAGTACTTTGGGAGACTGAGGTGGGTATTTTATCCTGAGGTCAGGAGTTTGATACAAGCCTAACCAACATGGGGAAACCCCGTCTCTATTCAAAATACAAACATTAGCTGGTGTTGTAGCAGGCATCTGTAATCCCAGCTTCTCAGGAGGCTGAGGCAGGATAATTGCTTGAACCCGGGAGGTGGAGGTTGCTGTGAGCTGAGATCGTGCCACTGCACTCTAGCCTGGGTGACAGAGTGAGACTGTCTAAAAAAAAAAGAAAGTTGACTTACTTATATTTTGGAGTCATTTGGGTAGCTTAAATTCATGGAAAAATTTTTATTAATTTTTTTCCTCCATGTTCTTTCACATGGAAGTACCTGTAATGTTGAGTCTGGAGATGCCATAGTTCAGCAGCACCACGGACATTCACACTACCCTGTGGTGTGTACCTAGCATCCACCATCTCCACTTCTGTGACTTATTGGCCTCAGAGCTTTCTGCACCCTTTAGGAATAGCAAACTGGGGGACCCCACAAGTCATCTTCCTGTACCAAGTCAGTAGACAAAACATTTACAAAGATACTGAAGAAAATGGTTGTGTTTTTGCCAAAGAGATACTGAACTATACTCAACTCTCTGTCTCTCAATTTAGTGAACTTGTTCCTACATTTTTCACAGTGTCTGAAAAGAAGGGTCTTGTCATGTTCCATCAGTATCAAAATGTTACATCTGCAAACCCAATTTTTCTCTGATTTGGGAAGGTACCAAGAGGGATCAACACTGTGGGCTTTGAGAAGAGGCATGTAATTTAATTTAGGTACTTGGGATTCACTTAGTCTTTCCTTCTGATTTCATATTTTATCTTTTTTAAAAAATATTTTTCTCCACAGAAGACAGCTGAAAGAGAAAAGCAAAACTTCCATCAATTCAGCTGCTCATTGCCTAACGTAGGCAATAATTCACAGTGACACATGGGTGGCTGAGAAAAGACACCGGCCTCCTCTTCCCCCAGCTATCCTGAGCAATGTCTTGCCTTAGGCGCAGCATCCCTTGAAAGAATTTTAAGTCTGTATTCAGACTGAATTCATTGCAGTGATGTATGAAATGAGCAAGAGACAGAAAAGTGCAGATTCTACATTAGACAAAATTCTATGTTGGAATGTTCAAATTTGACATTCTACATTAAGGCTGTTTACGGTCTGTCCATGCGTATAATTCATTAGCTGAAACACAGCTAGGAGACTGTGCTGTGTTACAGCTTGGAGAGTGTTATTAGCTGTGTTACAGCTAGGGGACTGTGCCCAGATGTTGGCATCTGATATAATCTTCCCTTTGCTCAGAACTGCCTGGATGACAAGAGCATGGAGCCCGTCATCTCTGTGGTGCTTCAGATCCTGAGGCAGTGCTACCCTACGAGTCCACTTCCCTTGGTCACAGCCAGCAGTGCCTATGCCTTCCCGGTCCCCGGGTGCATCACCACTGAACCTCCACATGATCTACCTGAAGGTAAAATAAGTTGGTAACTATGACCTTTAAGATGAGTTTTTGCATTTTGACCATGTTTCCCAGGAACATGGGTGAAAATAGAATTCGTTATTTTATAGGTCAACCATAATTGTCTATTAAGCTAATTAGAGACATATATGAAAAAGCAGTTTTGATTTTCATAAACAGGGTGATTTCATAAACAGAAAAAACCAAGCTCGCTTATTTTGTTCTTCATTATTAACTGTTTCTGCTTTGCTTGGTAGCTATCAAATGCCTGTACAGTCATCTCAGCTAATTTTAAAAAAGTCTATTTAGAATCCCATGATCGAATCTCTGCAGCATACTGACTGTGGAATTAATTTGCCCTAAGGATGAAATTGAAATAAAACTCTTGTTATTTACAACTGCAGGCTAGTCATATTGGAATATTTGAAAGTATTATTATTTAATCTCTGGGAAGATCTTCCTGTCAAAAGATCCTAGTACGAACAGATTTTCTATAGGCATAATTTTGCCACAATGGTACAAGATGCCTTCTATGGACTTTTGTTTTAAATAACTTCCTCAATCAAAAAATTAGGGGCTCAATCAAGGTGATATTTAGGTTATAACACATTTCGTTTGTGTGTGATCTCTAAACTTTGGCTACACTAGTTGCATAAATACCTCTAACTTTCATGGGAGAATCCAGAGTGGTATTCATGTGTCATTTTTTCTGCACTTATTTTGCATTCAATGTGGGATAACTGTTTAAACTTTATGACTTAGTGCCCCGACATGCCTACATGAACACCATTTATACCGACCAATAAGCATTTGTGTGTGGTGGGATATTGTGCAATTAATATTGGGCCCCTTATTTGAGAGAGGAAGAAGAAAGAACCACTGTATGGTGAAAATCTAAATCCTAAATCCCGGGCAAAGGGGAAACTTCACTTATTTCACCTCTTTTTCCCCATCCAGAGGATTTTGAAGATGATGGCGATGATGAAGTGGACAAAGACTCTGATACTGAAGATGGGAAAGTGGAAGTAGGTACACCAGCCCATGCTTCTAATGATGTCCATAGTCACATCATGCACAGAAAAATATTACTTCCTGTGTTTGCCCAAGCCCAGTGTAAATTTTAAGAACTGACTTTAGTACTGCCACTCCAGTGGTCGTGATGCGCAGTAAATGATAGCTACTGTTATTGATTTCCAAGTTGTCATTTTCATCTTGGTAGGTCCGGTACAATGTCTC
Source organism: Homo sapiens (assembly GCF_000001405.40). Lineage (NCBI taxonomy): Eukaryota > Metazoa > Chordata > Mammalia > Primates > Hominidae > Homo > Homo sapiens. The sequence goes on from NC_000015.10 coordinate 86,258,243, forward strand.
ATTATAAAGTCAGAGGCTATCCTATACATTATTATGACACCAATACTTTATTCAGATGACCTTTAGGCACACATTTAACACTTGGAGTTGGTATATTTGATAAGACCATTTAAGACCCTAGAAAGATTTTCCAGGAAGCTTTCTGCCTTTGTAAGTCACTCTTCTTATCCTTTCTGCACAGGGGTGCTGCATTGTACAATTCCATTGACATCAGACTCTGTGAATTGTTTTCCCTTAAGTTGCACAGTGCACAACCTGGCCAGCAGAGAAGTGTTGCTCTTTGGTCCCCCTCCCAAAAAGGCCTATTCTATAGAAGAGAGGTTGGTGAACTTCCTATAAAAGGTCCAATAGTAATTATTTTAGGCTTTGTGGACCATACAGTCTTTGTCACAACTGCTCAACTTTGCTGTTGTAGCACAAAACAGCTATAGACAATTTGTAAACAAATGGGCATGGCTGTGTTCCAAGAAATTTTTTTTTTTGAGACAGAGTCTCACTCGTGTCACCAGGCTGGAGTGCAGTGGTGTGATCTTGGCTCACTGCAACCTCCACCTCCCGGATCCAAGCAATTTACCAACTTCAGCCTCCCAAGTAACTGGGACTGCAGATGCCTACCACCACACCCAGCTAATTTTTGTATTTTTAGTAGAAACAGGATTTCACCGTATTGGCCAGGCTGGTCTCGAACTCTTGACCTTGTGGTCTGCCCGCCTCAGCCTCCCAAAGTACTGGGATTACAGGCATGAGCCACTGTGCCCAGCCTCCAAGCAGTCTTTGTTTACAAAAATAAGCAGTGGGATATAGTTTACTGACTGTTTTTGTACAACAAGTTTTCTAGACCTTGGCACTGTTGGCATTTAGACCGGTTACTTCTTGGTTGTGGGAGGCTGCCTTGTGCATTGTAGGATGTTTAGCAGCATTCCTCACCTCTACCCACTGGATATCAGTAGTACCTACCTCATTACCCTCCAGGGATGAACCAAAAATATCTCTTAGACTTGCCAAAATCACCCCTAGTTGAGGACTACTGCTCTAGAATAAGAATTTGTCTGTGAATTATAATTCTATCTCCATTTCTGTTGGTGGACATGGACTTTGACAAATTCCTTTAAGTTATAGTTTCTTAATTTTGTTGTCTGTAAAATAAGAGTCAGTAAATTAAGGTCAATGCTGCCTTTTATGACATTTACTGGGGATGAAACTCAAATTAAAAAAAATCAAAAATCTTCCCTCCTTTCCTTTCTCTCCTTCTTTCCTATCTGTCTAGAAAGAAAGAGGCTTTTGAGTTCTCTGTCATGATAATCACTCACCCTGCTGATGGTAGTAGCAGACATACAGGGACTACCTCTTAAGCTACATCTATAGGTTTAGACTGCTATTGACAGTCTGGTGTTCTCTGGGTTTTGTTGATAAATAGAATCATTTCTGAAGTCATCCGTAGCAAATTGGATCTTTGCTGTGGCTTGATGGTGCAGGCCTATGGAGTACGTGCTGAATTATTTGAATAATACTGTGCTGCTGCAGTCATTCATCAATGCCACTTTCCCCTCCCCTCTTGCTTGCTCTTTGATAACTGAATGTCTGATGCAGAGTGTCACCCACTTCATGTATCTGATGGGGAGGGACCGGGTGCACGATAGTGCCTGACTTCCCACAGCATGGGAGGGAGGGTGTTCAGATAGTTCCCTTGGCCCACGCTTTGCAGAGGATGGAGGGGTGGGGTAGAGAGAACCCTAAACAAATAAATAAACTCAACTGGCAAAGAAGCACAAGACAAATTGGTAAGAGCTTGAAAACTATTCTTCAAAAGGCTTCAAGCCAAGGCAAGAAGATGAGAAGTCAGTGTGAGGATGAATTGTAGAGAAGGAGAGGAGCATGAGAGTCAGGGCTCAAATTGGAGGCACAGCAAGAGCAAGGAAACTGCTCCAGAAAACTGGATTTTCCCTGGGGAAACCAGCAGCATTTGCTGCCAGAGGCGTGAACAAGAAGTCAGGCATATTTTATTTCTGGCCACAGCACTGATCCAGGCCTTTAACCTGTGGCCTTCCCATTTGACAATCTTAGGTAATAATTGGGACCAGCCTGTTAGTAAGAATGATTAAGAGGATCTTTTATCCATAAAGGGCTATGAGAGTGGAAAGTAGGGTGCCATGATTTGATTGAAAACTGCCAAGGTCAACGTATTAGATGTGGGCTGTCTTCACATACACAAGCATTAGATTCTGACAAACTCTGAAGAGGAGGGTGATAAACAGAGTGAATTCAAGCTCTCCCTTCCTTCTTCCTTCCTTTCCTTTCTTTTTAATTTTTTATTCTTTCAGGTGCTTTATTGGGTATGATCCGTATGCAACATGCTAAATTCTTGGGGATGATAATCTGAAACACAAACAGATAAGACATAGTTTTTATCTTCAAAGAGTTCACAGTCTAGTGGACTTGGAGTTTGTCCTTATTAAGTGTTCTAATCACCACCTTCAATGGAGTGGTGAACTCAAGTCTGAGGCAGCCAAAAGACAATGTCCAAAAGCTCCAACCTATGGAACAAGAGCCAGAAAGCATTACCTGGATTAGGTGGGTACCAGAATTCTAGCTGGTAAAGGACTGCCTGGGCTGCTGTGAGGACACAGAAGCAGGCCACCTCCAGATAAGAATAAATGCCATTTATAAGAAATACAAAAGGAGGTGGCAACCTGGCTGAGTGCCTGGTTCTCAGAGACTAAGCTCCAGAACTTTGAAGGCAGAAATGGTCTCTGTCACAACTATTAAACTTTGCTGTTGCACTGAGAAAACAACCATGATCAAATGAATGGGTGTGGCTCTTTTCCAATAAAACTTTATTGACAAAAACAACCAGTGGGCCATAGTTTATTAACCCCTGCTCTAAGGCTAAGTGGGTCGCCTAGTCACATGTGGAATGAATTAGGTTGCAGCTCATGGGTTGAATGACTCTCCTCCCTTCAGATGCACCAGTTGGAGCACAGCCTTACTCACTGGTGGGGACATCCTTCCCAGTGGCCTTCCAGGTTGTGTTTCCCTTAGTACCACCCTGGGCCATGGCTGAGGTTGCAGTGGAGGGGGTGAAGGCAAGCAGGAATTGATGGATGAAGCTGCAAAGCACAAGAGTGGGGGCCATGGAGTTGGTCATGGTGTGTATACTGTACCTGAAAATATCATTAAATGAAACTCATGGGAATTACTTTTCTTTTAATTTGAAGTTTGGAGAAAAATTGTGAAACATAGATGGAACATTGCATTTTTTTGCCCCTTGGATCAGAAATACAAACATTTATTTTCCACGTTTATTGGATTTAACCTTTCAGTACTGCCAGGTTTTTCCTTAACTAATGAAATATACTTGTAAAACATATGGTATTTTTTTTTTCTCTATTTCATTAAGGAAACTTAATCTAGGATATGAAAAGATGAAGAGACTGGGCTGGTTCATTCCTGGTGTCTTTTCTCTGTAAGACCCTACAACCCTTGGAAAACACACAAGTATTCAGAGGAGAGTCACCATCATCATTAAAAGGTTTCGAAATGGTGATCTATCAAGAATAAACAATAAAGTGCCTGGGATTATTCAGTCCAATAAATAAAAGACTCACGGTGCCTTGGTAAATTTTTAAATGTACAAAGGGATAAAGATGTAGTAGGAGAATACCAGCTCCTCCCCAGGTCTCATAAGGATTGATATAATTTCTCTCCCGCCTACTTCTCAAATCTCATCTCCTGCAATCTTCCTCTTATTCTGTATGCAACAGCCACCTTCTTTCTGTAAGCAAATTGAAGCTTTTCCTTCTGCTAATAATTCACTGCTAGGCCTATGCATAGCTGGCTTTTTTTTTTTTTTTTGCCATTTAGGTCTCAGTTAAAACTTTACCTCCTTATGAGTCCTCCTGAGATCTCCTAATCCAAACAGCCTCCCATTCCCCAGTCTTAGTAACATCATTCTCTTTTATCATTTCAAGAGGAGTTATAACTGTTGGAAATTAACTTATTCATTTGTTTACTTTCTTCTTTACTGTTTTTCTTCTCTCGCTAAAAGGCAAATACCATGGAAGCATGGATGTTTGTCTGTTCCATTGTGACCGAAACTTCAGTACCGGGAAGAGTACCTGCTCACAGTCGGTGCTGATTAAATGTTTGTGAAAAGACTGACAAACCTAAATGTCAAAGATAGATAAAGAGGGACAATAATTACAATGATGCTGACGATAGTGGCAATGAGATAAAGAATTTCTTTTATAATGTGCTTTATCAATTATGTAGTTTATCTCATTTTATACAAATTTTTATTTCTGATGAAGGCTGATAAATACTGACATAAATGCTGAGACAAGTCCTTTATCTTCTTTCTTTTTATTTTAAAAATACAATCCAGCATAACAAATTCTTCACTGGATGGGCCAGTGCTATAATTTGGAGGCAAGAAAACCATGTCCTAAGATTCTGAAGAAGCACATACATATCATGTCTTGATGCTTCTCAGGGTGGATTTCCTGACTGTAATCTCTTCTATGACTATTCCATTTTAGGATGATGACTTGGAAACAGACGTGAACAAGCTGAGTTCCAAACCTGGTCTTGACCGACCTGAAGAGGAACTGATGCAATATGAGGTGATGTGTCTTGAGCTCTCCTATAGCTTTGAGGTAGGACATATGCTGTGGTTCTGATCTTTGACGATGCATGATGGGTTCTTTGCAGATCCTGGGAGGCCAAACCAGGGTGTCCAGATGGAAAGCATTGCTCATCATTAGCCATATGCTTCTGGGCTCTTCCTTAGAGAAAAGCAGAATGCTAAACAAAAGTGGGAAAAGATGGCAAAAATGGAAAAAAGTTACGATGTATGCAAGAGTTCTTCAGTCTGACACCTTACACTTAGGATGGATACAAGGTCATGTGCTGCATAATGACATTTCCATTGATGACAGGCAGCATATTCCTTGATGGTCCCATAAGATTATAATACTGTATTTTCACTGCACCTTTTTATGTTTAGACACACAAATCCCATTGTATTACTATTGCCTACAGTGTTCAGCACTTTAACATGCTGTACAGGTTTGTAGCCTAGGAGCAACAGGCCACACCATATAGCCTAGGTACACCGTAGGCTAAACCATCTAAGTTGGTGTAAGCACACCCTATGATGTTCATACAACAATGAAATCACCTGATGATGCATTTCTCAGAGCATTCCCCATTGTTAGGTAATGCATGACTGTAGCATGAAGGTACACATCACTGCCTATTGTCTGGTGGGCAGGGTGCCCTGCCCCCATGCACTGAAAAAGCAAATAAAAATTCATGATGATTTAATTGTTCTCATGCCAAAGTGGGACCGTTGTCCTAGATGGCTTTTTGAAGGTGGACATACTGACTTCAGGCTTTCTTTTTTAATAGAAACAAATTGGGAACATTAGACCTGGTGATGCTAATTCTGTGCCTAGTTGCTGCTGCCACTGTTGCTGCCATCGATATTTTAGACCTGCTTTTTGATCTCCATTATTTTCTTATGGCTCTTAGTAATCATGAATTTGCCTACATCTAAGGGTATAAGCTAAGTCATGTGTACAGAGGGAGTTAATATATTCTATTTGGCTTCAGAAAGCAGAAGGATGGTTTCAGGGAAGGAAATTTCAGTTTAGTATAAAAATTTTTTTCAAATAAACAGAATTATTCTCAAGTGAAAGGCACTGCCTTGGGGTGCAGTGAGGCCCCCATAAATATGGTTTTCCAACCAGATTGTAATTTAGTAGGGGGTCTTGAAGACATTCAAATACTGTTTTGCATTGGACTAGACCCACCAAAAGCCCCTTCCAAACATGAGTTTCTATGATTCTGTCATTTATTTGACTCTTGAAGGTTAGTCTTTAGTTGACCTTGGAAAAAGCTTCCACATTCACAGGATTTATGCTTAGCTCTGTGCCCAGAGAGTAAGGACAGGGATCAAATTGTATTCCCTACCTGGAAGGACACACTAACATATTGTATTCCATTTTGAACCTGAAGGAACTGCAGTCCAAACTTGGAGATGATTTGAACTCTGAAAAGACTCAGTATGCCAATCACCACCACATTCCAGCCGCTGCCTCCTCAAAACAGCATTGCTACAGCAAGGACCAAAGCTCCTGTGGGCAAGAAAGAGAATATGCTGTCCAGACTTCCCTTCTGTGCAGGGTGAAGACGGGAAGGTCCACTGTGCATCTAGGCTCCAAAAAAAATCCTGGAGTGAACCTGTACCAAAATGTGCAATCCAATAGTCTCAGGAGAGATTCTTCTGAAAGTGAAATCCCTGACATTCAGGCTTCCCCGAAAGCAGATGCCTGGGACGTAGATGCAATTTTCTGCCCAAGGATGAGTGCCTCCTTTTCTAATTCCACTAGGACTAGAGAAGTTGTCAAAGTAATAGATAAGCTTCTGCAGACACATCTGAAGCGTGTCCCTTTCCACGATCCCTATCTTTATATGGCCAAAGCCAGAAGAACCAGCTCTGTGGTGGACTTCAAGATGATGGCATTTCCTGATGTCTGGGGACACTGTCCCCCTCCCACCACCCAGCCTATGTTGGAACGAAAATGTGGAGTCCAAAGGTGATGGCGCTACTGACTTGGGAGCTCTTTTTTTCTGTTCTTTGATAATTTTATAAGTAAAATGGTTTGTACAGATAATTCTACTATCTATAGGAAAGAGAGCATTAATCAGGAACATGTCAAAGCCTGTTGGCAAACTGGCCAAACACACAAACTTTGCTTCCTGCAAGGACTTTTCAGAATCAAGTGTGGGGTAGTGGTAGGCATGCATTTTCTGATGAAAAATTCCTTGAGTAATTCTAATACAACTCCTTATCCTATCTCCATTGCAAACCACTATCACAAAGAAAGATCATCCAGTTTTTCCAAATACTGGGCTCCTTCCTCAAAAGTAGGTTTTCAGGAAAATCAAGAGCTGATTATTTGGGATCTCTTTTCTTGCTTCCTACAAATTGATAGGGGATCTCTTGCTAATAGAAAGGAGGAGGTGTGCCTCCATTCCACAGCCCTAGCTATTATAGACCCTGGCTTAGTTAGGAGAATAGTTTTGCTGCCTCACAGAGCTGGCGGGGAGTTGATGGAAGAGAAATTCTCCAGGGAAGAAACACTGGTTGATAGATTATTCCCAGAAGGCAGGAAAGGGAGCTTTACCCATGGCTCAGCATATTGAGATTAAAATGAAAACTGCTAAAGGCAAAGAAAACATTATTCTCCTTGAAAAAAAACTGTATGCACATACCAAGTCAATGGAGCAAAGTGGGCAGACCAGAAAGTTTTCTTATTATCCACGTCATCTGTAAATTATTCTCTTGATGGTAAATCCCCCAAACTGCTCCCACTTGGGGTCCTGGCTGACATATCCAACCCTACCCCCTGCACTTTATCTGTCATGCTCATTTTTTGAGAAACAGATCACAAGGGCTGTTCTAGCACCATGTTATCCCTGCATAGGACATCTTCCCTCTGAGTCCAGGCCTCATGTCCACCTTTTCTTCACCCTTCTCTCACACCTCCCTTATGAACTGGATTGGAAATTCAGGAAGGTAATCTGAAAGACCTTCTAAGCTTTCTTTCTCTCTCTTAGTTAAATATCCCAGATTTTGGTGTTTCTTAGAAGATTGACCTTAGCCTACCGGAGCAGACAGAGCCCAAGGAATATAAATTGCACAAGGGTACACAGGCTTATTGGATCCTCCCAAACCTTGAAGATGCTAGCAGCTAATAGTCCTAATGTCTTCCTCAAAACTTTCTCAGTGCAAACTACCCTCTTATTCCCACAGCTAGAAAAGTTCCAAAGTCCCCCAACGCAAGTGCTTTTGATAAAATTCTTCAAGCCAAGAATTCTCTAACTGAAATCTAACATCACTACTTCCTACATTCCTACTTCTTATGCAGTTTTATTTTTTGATAGAGGCAGAGAAAGAAGAAGGGCAGGGCTATTTGTATGCTCTGAGCTCAAAGTTGAGGTGTTATTAAACTTCTCTGTGCTTTCATATTTTTCTGGTGACCCCCAAAGTTCTTCCCAGGTGATCACAGGATGAGTGAGCTAGGGAGAGAAGGCCGACCCTTAAAATGTTTTCAATTTTCTTTTTCAGGATCAGGATATTTGAGGATATTCGGAGGCTCATCCAGCCAAGTGATGTTATAAATAAAGTTGTCTTCAGTTTAGATGAGCCTTGGTAGGTAGTCTCGTGCATCTGAGGAAGGTGGGGCATGGAGAATTCTCTTAATGGCATGAGAATAGACATGTTTCCTGTTAATAATCCACTCCTCCTCCTAAAACAGCATGATGAAAATCCAGGTTAAAGATCTATAAGAGAAAGCTTAGCTTTAAGAATCATCGGCCAGGCGCAGTGGCTCACGCCTGTAATCCCAGCACTTTGGGAGCCCGAGGCAGGTGGATCGTGAGTTCAGGAGATGGAGACCATTCTGGCTAACATGGTGAAACTCTGTCTCTACTAAAAATACAAAAAATTAACTGGGTATGGTGGCGGGTGCCTGTAGTCCCGCTACTCGGGAGGCTGAGGCAGGAGAAGCGCTTGAACCTGGGAGGCGGAGGTTGCAGTGAGCTGACATCCCGCCCTGCACTCCAGCCTGGGCAACAGAGTGAGATTCTGTCTCAAAAAAATAATAATGAAAAAAAGAATCATCACACTGTTTTCAAAGAGTAGTGATAACACATATGTTCACATGTTCCTTATTTCATTGTAGGCCTTTGCAAGACAATGCTTCCAATTGTTTACGGTTCTTCTCCAAATTTGAGTCAGGAAATCTTCGCAAAGCCATCCAAGTGCGTGAGTAAGTAAGGAAAACCACAGTGGGTGTCTCCTGTCAGTTCGTAAGAGCAAGCTGTGACTATCTCTTCCCCATGCTCTGTTCAGTGACCTTGCATTGGTGGCTTGAAATCAGCCATGGTGGGAATATTTATATCATAAAAATTGGCAAACAGTACGAGTGAAGGTTTTTCCTTTCAGAGAGTCATTTGTTAAACATTTACCAGTACACCACTAAGTGTACTGATATCATAGCTACACTGATATCATAGCTAAGTGAGCCATTCAGTAGAAGTGAACTGTTATTAATGTGTCTTGTGTTTCAAATAATGGGTCCATATTTCGGTGTGAGAGCACTTTGACTGGGATGTTTATACTTTGATGCCAAGGCTGATTCTGTTGAAGGGAAGGGTACATGGGCTTGCTATTCCTGCACTTCTCTATGCCTGTTGCTCTCATTCCTGTGTACTTAGGTGGCAAAAATCATGAGCTTCCCAGAGAAAGGTGAACCATCCTGCATTCAAGGGAAGATGCAGTACCATGCCTCTCTAGCAGAACCTACAGATGAGCTCTCAGTAGAAAAGGATATCCTAGCCAAGGAAAGCCTAGGGCTGTACAAACTAAAAGAAAGGAAATAAAACACAAATGAATTTTACTTCTTTTTCAGTGTCAGAAGAGACCGCGGTTCTCACTATGTTAAAATTCTTTCTATTATAGCAGTGTGGATATATTTCCCATATACCAAAAGGCAAGATACATGATTCATCTTCTATAGGTGAACTTCTGAAAAAACAGTCCAGAACAGATAATGGTGTGGTGGCCATAGACAGACATCAGAATCAGAGTGCCAGGGTAACTTCATCACCTTCCAACCAGGAGACTGAGCAAGTTTCCTAACTCACTTCATGCCTTTATTTCCTCACTCACAAAATGAGAACAATAATCGCACCTACTACTTTGGGATTTCATGAGAGCTAAGTAATACACTTAAGTCTCTTAGAGTAGTACCTGGCGCATGGTCAGCACTTAGTCAACATCCGTTCTTACTCAGGGATGCATATTCGCCATTGTTGGAGCTCAGAATTCAGTATAGCTGAGACCTCCCTCATATCCACCTGATGATTCATTTTTGAAGTTCTTCCTCTTTGGGGGAGGTGAAGGGTGATTTTTTTTTTTGTACATAAAATATTTCAAGGAAGCCCAACAAATAAAACAGAGACCAGTTTAATCAGGCTGAAGACGGGAAAGACAGTCATGTCAAGACTCTTTCTCAGCCCTCTTTGTGTTGTTGGCTTAGTTTCCACTTCTTCCTGTGGCTCCTGCTTTTACTATTTCTTCTCTCCAGATATCATGTTCAAAGGATCCAGGAAAGGAGACCTGATTATGAGTCTCCTGGTGGAACAGTTATCAGATCAGGATGCGGCTAAGCTGCTGGCCCGGCTCAGGTCTTTTTCTCTATACATTTCCCTTGGACCAGAGTCTAAAATCCTAAATTCATCAGTTATGGTCAGGGTAATAGAGTCAAATAGCAGAAACAAACCTACTTATGGGTAAGGAATTTTTTATGATTACTTTTTGGAGAGAGCACTGTGGGAATAGCAGACAATTTGAGGGTCATAGACTTTCCAGAATTGTTCTTGTGAGTGCCACTCCATGGGGTTATGTGTCATGTGTTGTGTGGTGAGCCCAGTGGTTAGAGTGTGGTGCCCACAGAGACAGTGTGAGGACTAGACTCCATCAGATAGCTCTACTCTGCTCTCATCTGTCTTATACCAAGCTCAGCGTTTCATAAATCTCACACAATGCCATTTACCAGGGGTCCAGTGTGGGAGAGTATGAATGGATTGGGGCAAAAACATTTTCCTTTTCATAAGAGCAATGCAAAGAGAATACCAAGAGGATGGAGCAACATTTTTAAAAATGAAATATCCTGATAATGTTTAAGTCAAAACTGCATTGCTAGTTCTGTTGCTAGAGATCAGAAAAATAATAATCTTTGGAGATATATAGTGATGGGGAGAGGATCCCTGAGGGCCTCCTGGGGTGCTGGAAATGTCCTATATCTGGGTAGTAGTCACACAAGTGGTTTCAGATGTAGATAAATTCATGGAGCTGTATATTTAAGATGTGTGTATTTTATAGCATGGGAGTTATATCACAATGAAAATGAAACAACCCCTGCATTGCTAGCCTAATTCATGTTTGTTGTTTTGCTGGGGGATGTATATTTACTAGGTTATTTGATTTTTATAAACAGCACCTCAAGTTTAGACACTTCCATTTTCCGTATGTGGAAATTGAGGCTCAAAAGTAACGTTGATCTCAAATAGCAATGGCATATCCAAACCAGATGTGATTGAATTTTCTCTGGTATATAGCACACTTGCATTTTTTCTAGCTAGATAAAAACTTCATTATAGTTTAATAAAAAGGTGTGCTAATATTTCAAAATAGTAAAAAGACTAGAATTGGAATGTTCTTAACCCAAAAAGTGTTAAATGCTTAGGTGATAGACATTTCAATTACCCTGATTTGATCATTACACATTGTATTATTGTATCAAAATATCACATGTACCCCATAAATAAATACAACTATTGTGTATCCATAATAGTTTAAAAAAATTTAAAAATATGCGCTATTGTGTAATTGACTCTTGTAATACTAGGAAGCCCCCTCACCTCCATGAATTTCCAAAATCTGTACCCAATATTGTGGTATCAGGATGATAAGTATAACTTACCAGCTGGCTGAGATCCTGGGTCTTAGATCTGTAACCCAGAAACTGAAACGTGTAGATTCTTAGTGTCTGAAGTTTACCTGAAAGACTTTCCAGATAACCCTCCAGTCTTGCTTCTGATCTGCAGGTTCGAGTATGACTTGCTGGTCAACGCAGATGTGAATAGCACCCAGCACCAGCAGTGGTTCTATTTCAAAGTGAGCGGTATGCAGGCGGCCATCCCTTACCACTTCAACATCATCAACTGTGAGAAGCCCAACAGCCAGTTTAATTATGGTATGAACGCTTGGGGAGCAGGGGCTTTCTGGAACATGCCAGGAATGACATTTCTTGACTGTTTGGATTCAAAGAGCCTTTGCTTGGGTTCAGAGGGTTTGAAGTTGGGCAGAGTTTTGGGTTGCCAGGTGCAGCAAGGCAGGCAGTGGCCCTCAGTGGCACACTGCTACTTTAGAGGGGAGGCTGGGCACCCTCACTCTGCCACACATTGACATCCACTGCTTCTGGATTCCCTCGCTCTACCTTGAACTTTTTGAGGTTGGTGAGCGTTCTCATTTATTCCTTCTCTCCATCTCCTAAGTCCCATAGGAGCAAATGCTTTGACCTGCTTTTTTTCCTGCAAGGTAGAGGAACAACAAAATCCAATTGGACAACACTGATTTACATTCTTAGAAAGCTCTTGAAGAAGTTTAAATTCTCCTGAATACCCGTGGCCATTTTGGAGGAGATATTCAAGAGAGAAAGGCTGACGAGCAGGCTGTATTTATTTCAAATGTTTTGAGGAATGGAAATTCTGCATACAACTGCTGCATCATATACTAACTTGCTGGGTGGCTTTGAATGAGGAAGAAGTATTCCCAGGTGTCTAGGTCCAAGTGCAGGGTACTGTCTCTATTTTGTAGTGACTAAACAGATTCCTGTGGGTATGAGAAGAGAAAATATGAACCTTGACATTTATATTCACTTTGTATGGCTATTGTAACAAATTGTCACAAACTTGGTGGTTGAAAACAAGACAAATCTGTTCTCTTACAGTTCTGGGGTTCAGAAGTCCAACATCAGTTTCTCTAGGCTGAAGCCAAGGTGTTGGGAGAACCATGTTTCCTCTGAGGATTCCAGGGGAAACTCCATTTCCTTTCCTTTCCCAGCTTCTAGAGTAGCATTCTCTGCATTCCTTGGCTGATGGCCCCTTCTTGCATCCTCAAAGCTAGTAGTGTTGCATCTTGAAATCTCTCTCTGCTTCAGTCACGTTGCATTTTTTTTTTTTTTTTTTTTTTGGCGAGACAGAGTCTCGCTCTGTCACCTAGGCTGGAGTGCAGTGGTGTGATCTCCGCTCACTGCAACCTCCGCCTCCCGGGTTCAAGCGATTCTCCTGCCTCAGCCTCCCAAGTAGCTGGGACTACAGGCATGTGCCACCATGCCCGGCTAATTTTTTAGTAGCCGTGTTGTGTTTTTAGTAGAGATGGAGTTTCACCATGTTAGTCAGGATGGTCTTGATCTCCTGACCTTGTGATCTGCTGGCCTCAGCCTCCCAAAGTGCTGGTATTACAGGCATGAGCCACCATGCCTGGCCACGTTGCATCTCTTCTATAGTCAAACCTCCCTCTACCTCCCTTTCACAAGGATATTTATGATTGCATTTAGGGCTCACCAGGATAATCACCCCATCTCAAGATCCTTAACTTAATCATATCTGCAAATCTCTTTGGCGATATATAGTTAACAGTCACAGTTTCCAGGGATTAAGACCTATGTGTATGTGGGGGTCATTATTTGGCCCAGAACAACTCTCTTTCCCTCATGGATTAATTCCTTTCTGATTTTGTGTAGGGATGCAGCCCACCCTATATTCTGTGAAGGAGGCTCTTCTTGGCAAACCCACCTGGATAAGGACAGGCCATGAAATATGTTATTACAAGTAAGTTAGAGCGCTGTTAGCTTCCTTTTCTCTGTCCTGTAATTTTCTCTCAATTTCCCACTTTTCCATATTGATCTTATAAACATCAGCAATCTGTGCTTGTCTGCTAAACTTTTTGTCACTCTGTCCTAATGGCCAGTGTCCGGCCCTTCAGAGATATAAGCATATTCACTGGCACGCACAGTAGACCTCGAGAAATACCTTTTGATTGGCTGAAAGAGTTTATCTTCATTTAAACACATTAAAACTTTTAGATCTTGTTGTCAGATATTAGAAGTCATAGAGATTCTACCTGTGATTAGTGTGTCAAGCCTTAGTTCTTTACTTATTTCCGCTGAACCCAGAGAGTGAAATGTCTGAGATGTTCTATCCTGTTTCTATCCACCCCGTGGTTTAGTTTTCCAAAGTACAGGAGGGTGAATATGTGACAATTACACATAAGTAACTCCTCCCCATAGCAAGGTAATTTTGTGGAAAAAAATAAAAGAGGGAGGAGTTTCAAAATTCATCTTCAATCCTTGATCAGTCGCCAGTTTCATCAGTTTATCCTGCAAAGTTATAATGAACTTTAAATTGTCCATATATTTTGATGAAAGAAATGCATTCCAGCCATCTAGATTGCTTATATGTACATTTTCTTCAGATGAAAAATAAAATTCAAATTTATAAGAAAATAAGGATAGGGATTGCTATGAGAGGTAGAATATATATAATTAATTATTAGTTCAGTGCTAGTTTCTTTTAAAAACTGAGAGACTAGTACTTACTTTCTTAAATAAAGTAAGTTTCATCTCTTTCTGAAATTACTAGCGGCCTCTAAAAAAGTATGATCAGACATTCTAGAGTTTGGGATAGTTGTCACTGTGGAAAAGAAACAGAGTATATACCCTTATGCCTCTTGGCTTTTGAGACTTTGAAGATAGGAGTATTGATAGATGGGAAAGGTCAAGAATCTTGTTGCTGTATCAGATACAAAGGCAAAAATCACCATGGAGATAATGACAGTCTATAAGACACAGAGCCAGGCTGACTAGCCTGTAATAAAAGAGTTGGAGGTATTCAATCCCTGATCTATTAGGATATGAATCTAAAGAGGATTTTTTTATATCCTTTAGAAAAATTGCACAATATTATGACTTTGTTGGTTTTCCATTCACCTAAATGGCAACTACTCTCTGGCTCACCTATCTTAAGACTCTTAGGGCCTTTCCTACGGTTCAGAGAGATTTAGATTAAAAATCACCTCAAGGTGATAGTCTGTAACTGCAGGAAAAAAAAATGAAAACCTACTTTTGGACCTTGGTGTGTCAAGAATGACTTTTAGTTTTCTCTGAAAATAGTTATTCTCAGTAAATCTGAAAGACCCAGCTTAGAGCTGGCTTGGACCTGAAAGTTAGTAACAGATTGGACAAACATAACATTTCCTAATGGGATATATAAATTCCAGTTGAGGATGCTCCTCTTGGAATTGGGGAGTAAGAAGGCTAAGGGGACCACGTATTTCCCACAAGAGGGAAGAAGCCACACTTTCAAAAGCACAGCCTTGACCTAAGGAGAACCAATGCTGATAGCTTTTAGAGCTATTAGCAAGACAATTACTATGTGATTAAAGAGCAACAGAGGGATAAGAAAAAAACCATGAATGTATAATATAATTCATTTTTCATATTCCAGCCATGAATACAACAGAGATGAATGGATAAGATTGCTACATTGTAATGTAGTTTGTTTTATAATTATTCACCACGTTGTGTTAACATATTCCCAATACTGTGATGTAACAACAGGGTAGATATGTGTAATCTCTATTCACCCACAAATTAGAACGCCTCTCTCAATTGTAAAATGATGCCTTAGATTATGCAATATCTCTCTCCCTATTTACCTATCCTGATTTTTGAGTTGATTTGCTTTAGAAGAGTTCTTTGCTTCTCTCCTGCCTTTATTATCTCTGGTATATTAATTTGGGAGAACTTTACTTCCCTATTTCCTTGTCTCCAATATATCTTTAGATACTCTGCTCTATTTCTATTATGCTGTTAAAGTCCCAGATTTGGTGCCATGTTTTAAGAGGATGCCAGGGTGCTCACTGTGGGGACAACTGTGAGCCGTGGTACCTGAGTATGTTTATAGAAGGGTGAAAGGAAAAAGGAGACTCAGAAGAAATGGGATTTGCATTTGCATTTTCTTTCAGAAGTTGAAGTTGACAGCAATGATGAGCAGTTAAGGACATGGGCTGACTACTCTGTAGGGCCAATCGTCATCAAATAGTCTCCAAACTATTTTGACAATGTGCCACTAATCAATAAGATATATTTGTATGTGTTCTTACCAGATTAGTTTATACATTTAAAAAAGTGTATATGCATTACTATACTAATATATTATGCACCTAAGAAAGCATGTAAAAAATGAAGAGTTTTAAATTAGGAAAAAAAGATGAAATAAATAATAGTTTATATCTACCTAATTGTTACATCTTTATGCTATTTATAGCTTAGGGCACACTAGAATTTTGTTGTGGAGTTTACCATTAGATGTAGTTATAAATAGTCTTTTTGGTAATTTTGAGAAATTTTGATTAACTTTCTAGATCTGATTAGATTATTTTAACAAAAATGAGAATTACCGAGAAAGACCTAATATTAAGGGTAGGGGTAGGCTATGTCCATTCTGCCATTTTATGGTCATTTTGATTGCAATTTAATTTTATCATCAATAGATGGCTTCTAAGAAGATTTTTCTTTAAAAAGTAATTGTCTAGTTTGTGAGGTTTAGTTTAATTTAGGTAATACAATCTGTAAATGAAAGTAAGCTTCTGTAAACTTAAATACCTTGCCGGAAGCTAAAAGCAAAAGAAAAAGGAGGGGAGCTAGCTGTTCCCACTTCTCCCTTTGGAGACCTCTCCCATGCAACAATCGATGCTTAACTAACATATAAAAACCGTAGATGCAGAATATAATGTGTTTTTCATACTCCAGCCCTGGAATACGACAGTGATGAGTGGATAAGATTGCTGTACCATCATCTAGTTTGTTTTATAATTACCCACCACATTAGGCTGACATCGAGACAGCCATGCCAATCCCCATATTAAATAGTAGACAACTTAATTTCTTTCTTACTATCTAGATAATAATCATTTTAAGGAGAAATTCTAATATTTTCTGCCTGTGGTCAGTTGATCACCCTGCCCCTCCCCTGGAGCACCTCCCACCCCTTCTATTCCACCTCCTGCTCTTCCCCACCTTGATGACCACTAGGCTGGAAAATAAAAAATGCCCCTCGAGAGGGAGGAACAGAAATGGGCAGATTCATTTTTCCCTGCCTCTCGTAAAAGTAAGCAAGGGCCCTTTTAGTTTCTTTTTTTATTTAGTTCCCTGTGGTCTGCTTCTTCCTCTGATGTGCACAGCCACACACCTTTTTGAATTCTCTCCCAGCTCTGGTCTAAAGTAATTTTGGTGCTGAAGGGCAGAGGGAGGGAAGCTGTGCGCTTAGAGTGGCCATGTAATACACAACGGCTGATCTCTTCTGACATTTATCTCCGCTCGTGAGAGGAGATGGAACAGCTCACTCATGAAGATGAATGTCATACAAGAGCTCTGCCATCATGCATCCTTCCATGGGATCTCAAGAGAGAGATCTGGTATTATATAGAATATTAGAAATGCTGCAGACACAGGGAAGTCTGGCAACTTCACTGCTCTGCCTTATTAGATCCTGTTAAATGAAATGATACACCCTTGTTAAACAGAGCCATTGTCATTATAAGATTATCTAATCCATTCTCCATCATGGCATTTGCTTATTTTATGCACCCTGCTGAAAAGAAACAATGACTTTCCAGCATATTTTTAAGTACAAATGGAAATAACCTGAGTTCGTAACTATGCCTTTGTGTACTTGCTCCTTGCTTCATTGAAGTCTTTATGATTATAAAAGTGCAGATCCTTCCAAAGATAAATGGTTCAGGCAATGGAAAGGCAAACAAAAAGCCTTTTAGCTGTGAAGTTGCTGGATGTACCCAGCCCAGGTCATTTTTGACCCCAGATGACCAATAGGATCCAGCTAATCTTCAAGATCACTCCTGATTTTCACCAGGCTGCTTCTCCATCTAGATGAACAGATTGAGGAGAGGAAGTTCTTTGACTCAAACTTCCACCACTCATTAATGGCGTGACCTTGGGCAAATTATACCAACTTCTTTCAGATTCTTCATCTTAAAATGGGATAATAATGGTATCTACCTAATAGAAGTGTTCTGAAGATAAAATAACATGAGATAAAACACGTGTAAAGGTTAGAACAGTGTCTAGTGCATAGTAGGTGTTCAATGAATGCTAGCAATTATTTTTAATAATTAGTAAAAACATCTTAGTGGCATCAAATACCAATGATATAAAAGTCATAGTATATGGATCATTTTATTAGCTCTCATCTTGATTATTTTACATTTTTTTCTATTATTTTAGACTGTAAGTTCATAGGCAGCTCTGATTTATGAAGATCAAAACTTCAGATTCTTACTTGCTACCTTGGGCATAAGACATCTTGTCCTTTTTAACCCATTCCTAAGAAGCAGATGATATAATAAAAAAATTTTAGTTTCTGAGCTAAGCCTACAACTGGGGTTGAATCCTGTTTACTATACTTGTTGTGTGGAATTGCTCTAGACACTTAACCTCTGTGAGCCTTAATTCCCATGTGTAGAATGTGTGTAATAATACTCACCTTGAAAGGATGTCATTAGAATTGGAGATAATACATTGAACAACCTAATTATTACTCCTGGAGTCTTGGGTCCGTGTATTATACAAACTTTAACTGAACAGCTGCTATGTCCAGGCAAGGTGGGAAGCATAAAGATAAACAGATGAATAAGCATGGTCCTTGCCATAAAGTATTGGCCATGAGAATAGGAGTGATAAGGGGGCTATCAGGGCAGGCTTCCTGAAAGAGGAAACACTTGAGTTAAATCTTGAGGAGTGAAGAAGACTTAGCTAAATAAGGAAGATGGAAAGGGCTTTCCATACAAAGCAAGAACATGGGAACAATTTAACATAGGAAGGATGAACATTGCTTCTTGCAAACATCACTCGATATGTCCACATCATAACTGGGAAACGAAAAGAACTTGTTGATGGGATCTCAGTTTATCATGGATGAACTGAACTGTAGCAAGCCAGGTGTTTCACTTTAGAGATTTATCAAACATTTGGCTTTGAAGGTCCTGGGAAAGTTTAAAGGCCTCTGCAGAGGAAGGTGTGCTGGAAGCAGAGTCATCTCCTGGACAACTCCTGCTACAAGGTGGCTGCCAGGAGAGTCCAGTGGGGATGCCTGACATTTGCTTTAGGTTCAGCCAGAGTTTAGACCCCAGACAAGGGTTGTAACTGAATTTCTTTTAGCTGAAAGTCATTCTAAATAAGGTGTTTATAATAAGATTTTTTTTTTTTTTTTGGAATTCCAGCAGTGTGCAACCATCCTGGAGAAGGCTGACTTGTTGGTGGGGAGCCTTTAGTCTTGCTCGGGAGAATCTAATATCACCAAGCTATGGGGGGTAGCATGTTAGGAGAGAGAGAGAGAGTGTGTGTGTGTGCATGTGTGTGTGTGTATGTGTGTGTGTGTGTGTGTGTATGTTGGTGGTGTGAGAAGACAGATTTGACATAGTCAGAACTACCATTTGAATTCCTTACACTTCCCTTAAATCTTGAGCCCATGGAAGCTCAAGAGCTAAGGATTAGCCCATTTTATTTCTCTTTCCATTTCACTGCAGCTGTTTTTTCCTTGGAGTCCAGGTTTTGCCTGAATGAGGGAAAGAACATAGAGATAAATACATGGATTTTATTTTTTCTCTCTCTTTCTTGCTGTCTCCTGTGGTTGAATGTGGTGAGGTTGAGTTTGCATAGGCTAAATGTGCTTGTGATGTGACTTTAGTGTACTAATAGTGCAGTGGGGAACCTAAAAAGAAGCAAGGCCCATGCCAAATAAGACCAACCCTACTGGCCCTTCGGGACACCTATTATTTTTGAGTCAAGATACAGGCTCTGTCTCCACCATTTGTAGGTGAAGAACTGGGGACAGTGAGGCACAAGGTGCGTGTTTCCATCTGCCTTTACATTCATGAATACATGCACATCTGTGTGTGCACTCACACATATGTGCTTACAAGTGAAGCACTCTTCCACGCTTTGATTGGTTATCCCTGGATCATTTTATTTCAACTGCTGTTTCCCGTAAAGAGGAGTAATTGACTAGCATTTGTTGTTCAGCAAGGTGTAAACTGAGTGTATGTTTGCACGGAGGCTTTACAAGGGAAATCAGAAAGCAAATAAGAGGTAGAGCATATGTAACTTGCATGCTTTCCGAGCTACCATCTGCTTCTTTACGTACTTTCTAATAACCAGAGTCATAGCTTTTGGAGAAGCTTCAGAACTTTGGGGCAATCTGGCAAAGTAGACCTAATTAGCCATTGCGATCCATATCACACCATGTGGGAAGACACTATTTTAAAATTTCTATTTCTGTGGGCATAAAGGAAACGGATTCTATTAATACAATGCCAAAAACCTGGGTGTGACAGCCACTGGGGGCTTATGTTGTTACAGGGTACCCTCCTTTCCCTAGCATGACCAAGGCTCCAGATTGCCATGTTGGCAGAAGCTGAGGGAAGGAAGATAAAGGTATCAGGCCATAGTCAGTGGGCTACCAGCTTCCCTTAGTCCCATTCCGAGGTGTATAAATATTGAAAAGCCACAAAACCATGAGAAATAAAAAAACAGATTTTCTATCTCTTTCTTCCATGCTTACTTTTTGCTTAGGTAGGGAGTGGCATGAAAGTAGCAAAAAGGTAGAAAAGAATAACCCATGTTTGTTTTATTTTTCAAGAACACACAAGAATAATTACCTACTATTTCTTCCCTTCCCCTTCCCTTTCCCCCAGTAAAACCAAAAGCACAATGGACTAGTAAGCCAACGTTCTAAATGTTCAAAGGTGGAATTACATCTTGGTGTCCGGGTGTATTTTGCATTATAATGCAGCCTTGATGATAACATTTCTCAGGAAAGCCTGTGCAGCTGTCTCAGCATCAGTTGGCAGCGTGTGGGGAAAATATTGCTCGGAATGGACTTCTGGGAGCAATTTTCTTTGATACTGTTCTCTGAAGTATCAAAATTGGTTCTTCATCTTTGACAAAGGAAAATGTGCACTCTCAAGCCTTACGAAGCTGAACCACATTTGAGGTGACAAATATATTCCTTTGGGAAGAAAGTATTGTACAGTGGAAAGAACAAAGCCTTTGCAGCCAGAGAGATCTGGGTCTCAGTCTTGTATCTACCATTTAGCTTTGAGCCCTTTGGCAAATTAACTTTTCTAAGCTTTTGTTTCATCATCCACATGATGGGTTGCTGCAATAATAACATAAGATGACATATGTTAAATGTTGAATTGGAACTCCATATATCATGTGATTGCTAATAAATCTACTTGGCAGGTGGAGCGGAAAGGAAGGAGTTGAATCCTATGTGGTCTGGGGAGAGATAGGGATTGGGGGAACCCAAATTTGGGTGATAAAGTTTATGTCTCCAATTGAAACCCAAGAAAAACAGAACTGTTCAGATTTTCCTCGATGTTCTAGCTCAGTGACTATATAGCCCTCATTTTCAGACAGCAAGGAAAGGTCGGTAGCATATACGGCACAATTGGGAGGCAGATGGGCCAGGCTACATGTTGCTGAACTGACTCATGAACTGGCAGTAAGTTTACTTGTACATTTCCCTTTTCTCAGTTTCACCCACAGAAATGTTTCAAGTGAAGGCCATTGTGCCAGGACAGTATATAACGCACAAGATTTATAGCATCTAGGACCCTAAATGACCCTGCACCCCCCTCCCACCTCTCCCTTATTCTCTTCTCTTCTCCTCCTCTCTCTTTAGAAATCATTATCGCCAGAGTACAGCTGTTGCAGGCGGAGCATCTGGGAAGTGCTACTATACCCTCACCTTTGCTGTCACCTTCCCACACAGTGAGGATGTCTGCTACCTGGCCTACCACTATCCCTATACCTACACAGCCCTCATGGTAACTTCCTCTTTATAGCATCACTCCAGCAGGACTGAAGGGGCTCTCTGAGGTTTTCCTGGGAACATTTTGGAGACCCTGACATCCTGATGGGGTGCAGAGGGGAATGTAGGGGAACTACAGCCTTCCTAAAGGAGCCAGGTTTTGTTGTTACTGACTTGGTGCTTTCTAATTGTCCCATCTCCTTCCCTGGACAGAGCACAAGGCTGAGCCTTGATCAGTGACATTCCAAAGGCCCAAGTGGTCTGCAAGTTGGGGCAGGACATGGGGGCATTTCTTAAGAGACTCTGTCTTTAAAAAGTCAAGTTAAGTATGAAGTAGGTTGGAGTTGTATGGGGAGCAACACCATACAAGTAAGCTGAGATGCAAATCTGAAGAAAATTCAGTCATTCAGAGGAATGGAGAAAGCAGGAAGGTAGATCTTGGGAAACTTCTGAGTCTGTGTGCAAGTAGCCACGCCAGCATCTCCAGTGGTTCCAATGACCATGAGCTGGAGGTGGCTAGAAGGATCCAGGGTGGAAGAGAAAAGTGTAAGAATAAAACACTAGATCATTGCAACAGACAGCCACAATCTTTTTATGAGGGAGAGTAGAAGAAGTCAGTGCAGACTCACAGTTAGCATTCCTGTGTACCATAAGGCCCTGCAAAAAGTTCACAAGACAATTGTGAGAAAATGGACTGCTTAAACCATGCAGCTTTCTGTCATTTGAAAAAGCTGGCAAACTAACCCTTACTGCTACCATTTCGTGGATATCCTGAGGATAAATGAACTCCAGTATCTTCTATAAAGCACTTTCATCCTCTATGTTAATGTAAAATGTTATTAGCATATTTATAATCATATGTGTGTATATGGGTATATGTATCACTTAGCCTGAAGGATGAGCATTTTCATTTTAAGGCTGTGATAAGGACTTGGAAAAGATAATAACCAAGAACATCTTTTCCTTCAAAAGGAATGTGCAGGTATAAATGTGAATTTTTCGCATAGAGAAGGCATATCTTGAACCACTTGGCTCACTGCTTCATGAAAGTGCATCTGTCCTCTTCTCCATATGTTGTCTTGCCTAAAGAGAGATTTTTACTGTTTTCCAGATTGCAAAAAATACACAACTAGTATTATTTGTGTATCACACTTAGAGAGCTCAAGAAGTTAATCCAAGTAATGTGCGTTGCAAGCTAGGCTGTAACAAGCCACATTTGTTATAAAACATGTTTTGTTGCCTTTAGGGACACAGAACAGGCAACATTCATCTCCCTTCAACAGCTGTTTTTATGGTCTTGCCTGTGAAACACTGCACATGAAAAGTCTACTGTGGGCTGGGCACAGTGGCTCACTCCTGTAATCCCAGCACTTTGGGAGGCCAAGATGAGAGGATTGCTTGAGCCCAGAGTTCGAGACCAGCCTGGGCAGCATGGTGAAACCACCATCTCTACAAAAAATACAAAAATTAGCCAGGCCTGGTGGCATGCACCCATAGACCCAGCTACTTGGGAGGCTGAGTTGGAGGATCACTTGGGCTCAGGAGGTTGAGGCTGCAGTGAGCCAGGATCACACAACTGCATTCCATCGTGGGCAACCAAGGGAGACCCTATCTAAAAAACAAAACCAAAAGCAGAAACCAGAAAAGAAAAAAAAAGTCTGCTAGGGATGGGGATTCCTTTTAAAATACGTGTTATGTGTTTGCCTTTCCCATTGGGTAAGTGATCATGGATCTAGGACACTGTTCTTTTTGCTTGTTAGAATATCTTGGACTCTGATAAGGTTCCTGGTGGCCATTCATATAAAACATTAGAATGCAAAGGGGTTGGGTGAAGTTGTCTAATTCACCCTTAACGTTTATAGATGCAAGAACTGAGACCGGAAGTCCCACATTTAGCTAGCAGCCATGCAGGAACAGAACATCAGCCCTTGAGGTGTATTCCTGTGGTCTTTCTACTCCCCTGTAGAAAAGTGTAGAAGAAATTCAGAATTTCTGCCCTGGGGTCAGATTAGTGTCATTGCTTGCCATTACATTCACAAGCTGCTAAAACATGCAGTCGTTTTATGAGTCCATGTAGTCATCATTGTGTGATGATACAGACATCTCTAATGTTTGAATTCAAACCACCAGCCCACAGTTTTTATCTTTAATGCTGAGTGCCGTGGATGTGGTTCAGCTGAGGGATAATATCTCTTTCCAAACATGGTCTAATTCTTACCCCAAGATGCTCCAATGGATTCTTGCTAGGTGCCTACACACTGATTCAAATTGTGTACCCCTTTCAACCTGGCCTTGACTTGATGGTACCTAGTTGTTTACCTTGTGCCTCTGGGCCTGCTTACCTTCTGGGCACAGTTTCAGATAAGAATACAGGGTCTAAAATTTGCAATTGATAAATAACTCTAAGAACCACTGGGTGGGGGGTCAATGAGGAGAAGATTTCATGTTAAAGGGAAACAAAACACACAAAAAAGAGGACCCCCCTCTCTCCACCAGTCACTAAGTTTCACTGAGAGGGAAAGAGAGGCCTTGTTAATTGATGCTTATTGGCTTGTTACTGTTAACAATATTAATAACTATTACTGTTACTATTAATTACAATAAGTTATAACTACTTACGACTTTTTATTGTTACTTTTGAGCCTACTGACTGTGAATGTCTTCCTCCAGGGAAGTTTGTGGAGAGTTAATGAGAAAGAGGGATAACTTATTTCTCCTAAATGAACAAAACAGGGTTAGAAAGACAATTTGTTACTTAAAAGTGACAAATGTGTATTCTCAATTTTAGGTTTTACATTTCCAATAACTCATGGTCTTTGTCCTCTCTAGGTTTAAGACAATAATTGACTCTGTGACTTCTCTTAAAAAAAACTTCCTCCCATCATGGACAAAATGAGTACATTCTGTAATGCTAACCAGTCATTTTTGTTTTTGGACATGTCCTGAGGAGAAACGGTTTTTCTTCCAACAGATCAGTGATAAATTAAATGCGAATGATACCCCAAGGGGAGAATTAACTGTATGTTACTTGGGGGTTATGCTGAGGGGTAGAAAATACGTTTCCATGTGGAATTCATAATTTGCGAGTCTCCTATAATATGGATTACATTTAGTAATTACAGACATTTTTATAGCATAGGACTTGTATGTTGAATGTTTTTCAACGTGACTACAATTTTGAAACTCTCAAAATTTTTTTATTCTCTTATAATAAGGAAATTAGTATTTGGTTCTTTCAAATGGATATCTTCCAGATGCTTGCCAGCAAGTCTGTTGGATAATCGTTCGTTTTATAGCATTCAAATATAGCTAAAAGAAAGAAATATACTATTGTAATTCTGAAGCAAACAAAAAAGCTCTATTTTAATCAGCCGTATCAAGTTATCAGTAATTGTAATGATTGTTAAAGTGTTAGCAATAATCGTTACAGTATTAGAATTATGTTATAAATAGCCCCTAGGTAGCCAGTAGTATTGGTTGAAAATGGGGCCCCAAGAGAGTTTCTGATGAATATTTTAGGAGGTAAAAAATTGGGATCTCACTGAGAACTTATAACTGTATGAAATGACAAGAGACAACAAAAGCGGTCATTAGCAGAGTCCATGTATTGGGGGAGCTTAAGGATCTTAAAGGATAGAGCAGAATTTTTACCAGACACATATACCCACTGTGAAAGATGTGAATACTGTTATCTCCAGAGACAGGGGTGGGATGGGGAGGTGGGGGGAGGTGGAAGAAAGAGAGGGAAGAAAGAAGAAGAAAGAAAGAAAGAAAAGAAAAGGAATTAGAATGCCACATGCACAATATTTTATAAAAGACTCAGAATAAATGAAGAGTTTAAGAAGTGTCCAGTGGGAAATGTTGACTTACATGTGGCATATCGAAGATGCAATGAGCAGGCCATAAATCAGCACTGTCAAGTAATCAGTAGACAGAGATCCATCCTTGTATAGGCCAAACAAATGACAGACCCCAATAAAGGTTCTTGATGTTGAAGAGGCGAACATGGAAAGCCATTCTGAAGAAGCCAATATGTGCATGAATGGTACAGTCTTTGACAACAAGGACATCTGAATTCCAGGGTCTTGGGCACAAAGAAAGAAAGCTTTGAGGTCAGACAGGCCTAGATTTTAGTCTAGGTGTTGTGTTTCCTTGCTGTGTATCCACAGGCAAGCTATTTAACTTCTCTTAGCCTCGGTTTTCTCATCTGTAAAATTGGAAACAAAAAAGCAGTGACTACATAGGCTATTTCGAAGATTAAATAATTGCTAATTGGAAAGTTTTAGCAAAGTGTCTACATCTTGTAAGCAATACTAGATGGTAACCATTAAAGCATTTATTGTTTTTTATGATGATGTGCGATTATTTTCTCTGTTGGACTGATTGGAAGATACCCGTTCCATAATTCATACTAAAATTAAAATAAAAAAAAAAAAACAAATGGAAGACCCCTCCTCAAAAATTACAAAGGCTACTGATGGTTTTCTTGGGGTAATTGATTATGATTATTTTTTTCTTACTCTTTTTTCCAAATCATCATAATATAGCTTTGCTTATTTTTAATGGACAAGGAATATTAAACCATCCTTTCTTTATAATTGACAAATCTGTGAGTAGATATCTAGAGACTAATCATTTCTCACATTTTTAAAGTTAAGTCCCTTTAACTTGGGGAGCATAATATTGGCAGACTGGGACAGTTTGAGGAAGCTCATCAGAACATGCCTGTAGCATATTCTTGTACCTTTTATTTAGCTTAAGGGTGTTATTTGTTCTTCTCTTGTGATAAGAAGTCTTTGATTCTCTGATGAGTGTATTTAAGTGACAACTGAGATCTAGGCAGTAGACAAATAAAGTAGGCCATCTCCTTAGGAGTGGGCTTTCTTCTAAATTAGGGGAACAGAGAGTGCAGCAGTTTAGGGGGTAACAATAGAAAATGAATGGTTTTTGAGTGCATAGTGCTTCTCACTTTATCAGTAGCCATCAGCAGGTTACCCTGCTGAGGTCAAGGAAGTCTTTTATCAAAGTTTTAAGGGAGTAGTTGATAAAGGAAAGGGAGACTGAGGACTCCTGTGGAGAGACACAGGATGAGGCTGCAGGCTAAGGTTATCAGCTTGATATTGTTCACAGACAGGATTTTCTTTTAAGAAGTCAGTCTCTCTGGGGGTTTCTACAATTGCCTTAAACTCATTCACATTTTTATAAAGAAACCCACCCCTGTGGCTTCCACAGGGCTGTAATTACAGTCAGTTGGCACATGCATTCAGAGGTCCTACTTTTCTCATCAATGATCCCCACAATATCCAATTAGGCATAACTTTTCTGGACCAGAGATGGGAGATCATTTTTAGGAGAACAGGACAAAACCATTTTTGCAAAAGGAAATCCAACAGAAATTTATACTTGGTTTACTTCTAGCAATCTTTTATATGACTGAAGTCAAAATAATCCCCTAAAAGTAGAAGTGTTAAATACTTGCTGGACCTGATGGCAGGTCCAGCAGGAGGGAGATTTCATTGAGGGGTGCAGGGAGATGGATCCATGAAAAATTGCAGTTTACAGAAAATGAGTAATATGGTTTGGCTGTGTCCCCACCCAAATCTCATCTTGAATTTTAGGTCCCATAATTCTTACGTGTCGTGGGAATTAATTGAGTCACGGGGGCAGGTCTTTCCCATGCTGTTCTCATGATAGTGAATAAGTCTCATGAGATCTGATCATTTTATAAAGAGGAATTCCCTTGCACATGCCCTCTTGCCTGCCACCATGTAAGACGTGCCTTTGCTGTTCTTTCACCTTCTGCCGTGATTGCGAGGCCTCTCCAGCCACGTGGAACTGTGAGTCGATTAAACCTCTTTCCTTTACACATGACCCAGTCTCGGGTATGTCTTTATTAGCAGCATGAGAATGGACTAATACAGTGAGCTTAAGCTAAGAGAATATTAGGCATTTGTTGATTTGTAATATTATTGTGGAAAATGTAATAATAATAATAACAAATTAAAAGATAACCCATGAGAGAAGAAAACTTTCAGGCTTTGCCTCGTCCAACATTTGCTGCTTGGGAGCCTGTCCAGCCAACACTATTTTGAAGGACAGTGCTCATGTGCCCTATGATACTTTTTGACTTTTTGTCTCTCATAGCTAATACTGCTTGGTGGCTTCTATAGACCAACCTTCTGCCTAACCTGCTTCCGCATATCTGATTTATAAAATCTAGATTTTATTTTTTTTTAAAGTTTGATATCAGGCACCAAAGGGCTATGGCTTAATTGTAATATCACAGAATGACGACTACTGCTTTTTGTTTTTCATTTATTTGTTCCCCCTTCTCTCTTTTTTCTTTTTCTTTTTTTTTACAGATTGTGTTTATTATTTATTTTTAATTTATTTATAAAAGTTTCATTTTTAATTGACAAATAATACTTGCTTATATTTATAGGGTACAATGGGGTGTGTTGATAAATGAATATGTTGCAGATCGATCAAACCAGACCAATAAACGTATCTATCACCTCACATATTTATCATTTCTTTGTGGTGAGAACACTTAAAATTACTCTTTTAGGGATTTTGGAATAATTCTGTGTATTATTATAAGCTATGATTACTATACTATGCAATAGATGACCAGACGTTATTCCTCTTGTCTAATTGAAATTTTGTACCCTTTCTCCAACATCTCTCCATTCCTCCCCCTTGTTCCCGCTCCTCCAGGCCCTGGTCACCACCATTCTACTCTCTGTTTCTATGAGTTTGACTTTTTTATATTTCATGTATAAGTGAGATCAGGTGGTTATTTGTCTCTCTGCGCCCAGCATTTCACTTGGCATATGTCCTTCAGGGTCATCCATGTTGTTGCAAATGACAGAATTTCCTGCTTTTTAAGACTGAATAGTAATCCATTGTGTATGTATGTATATATATATGTGTGTGTGTATATATATGTGTGTGTGTGTTTGTGTGTGTATATATATATATAAAACTCCATCAATGCGCACTGTGGTCGTTTCCATATCTTGGCTCCTGTGAATAATGCTGCACTGAACATAGGGGTGTATACAGATATCTCTTTGATGTACTGATTTCAGTTCCTTTGGATATATACCCAGAAGTGAGATGGCTGGATTGTATGGTAATTCTATTTTTAATTTTTTGAGGAAACTTCATACTGTTTTCCAAAATAGCTGCACTAATTTACATTCCCACCAATGGTGTTCAGGGTTCCAGATCCTCACCAGCACTTGCTATCATTCATCTTTTTGATAATAACCAATCTAACAAGTGTGAAGTGGTATCTCATTGTGGTTTTATTTTGCATGTCTCTGATGATTAGAGATGTTGAACATATTTTTTTATGTATCTGTTGGCCATTTGTATGTCTTCTGTTCAGAAATGCCTATTCAGGCCATTTGCCCATTTTTATAAGGTTGTTTGTTTTCTTGTTACTGTGTAGTTGGTGTTCCTTGTATATTTTAGATATTAGCCCCTTATCTGATGTATGATTTGCAAATATTTTCTCCCAATTTGTGGGTTGTCTCTTTGCTCTGTGAATTGTTTCCTTTGCTATGCAGATGCCTTTTAGTTTGGTGGAATCCTATTGTCTACTTTTGCTTTGTTTGTCTGTGCTCTTGGGGTCATAGTTAAGAAATCGCTTCCCAGACTAATGTCATGAAGGTTTTTCCTTATGTTTTCATCTCATAGCTTTACAGTTTCAGGTTTTATGCTTAGGTCTTTAATCCATTTTGAGTTGATTCTTATATAAGGGATCAATTCTCATTCTTCCACATGTGGTTATTCAGTTTTCCCAACACCATTTATTGAAGAAACTGTCCTTTCCCCATTGCATGTTTTTGGCACCTCTGTCAAAAATCAATTGACTATAGGTGTCTGAGTTTATGTTTGGGCTTTAGTTGAGAAAGCTTCACCACTGGCAAGGACCCATGTGGTCATAATAAAATGTGAAACAAACAGATTTAATAAGAAAGAGAGAGAGAGAGTGAGCTCATAGAAATAATTCAGCAAGACAGTGTTTCCCAAAACATATTCAATAGCATTTCAGTCTCTTGAGAGGTTTAGAGAAGAAAAGTTTAATGGTCATCTAAATTTATGAAGCACTGGTGCTAGTTTTTCTTCTAACAGTTCACAATGCATATTGAAATATTAAAGAATCTGAAGAATCCTGCATCCACAGAAATATTTTCATTTTCTTTAACTCAACATTTTCTAAGCACTTTGGCTATGAATTTCCTGCCTTCTCCACCTCCTTGTTCACACCACAGCACTTACACACTACGGGATATATTTTGGGAAATGCTGCAACCAAGTTTCCCTTTCTGGCTTTAGAGCCTTGGAATCTTGATAGTAATTGTGAGGCAGGCTACATTTAGTCTAGATTTTGATAATAAAGAATACTGAGAGCAGCTGTCACTCAAATGTTTATAAAAATCTTAAAAATAATTTGTTTATGATCACAGAGACTATAATCTGAATCCAGCACTATCCATACCTTCTTAACTAAGGAGCTGGAATTTTCCTTTTCCAGGATGACTTAGAAACGTGACTGATATTCTGATGGAGACATTTCCATTCTTCTTCTGTGCCATCTCTCGTGGGATACCCAGATGTCTACTTCTTATATCAGGGCTTTAGTTAATAATTTAATATTGATTTTTGTAACCTATGAATTTTTTTCCAGTAAGCTTCTTTTAAGAGGCTATTTTCTATTCTCTAGTGGTTATTTTATTTTTGCTGTTTCGAAAACCATTTTTATTTAAGTCTAATTTCATTTAATTGTCAGAAAATGTGATTTGTATAATTTCTGCTTTTTTGGGGGAATAATCTAATGAGTTTTTAATAGCTCTATGTATGATCAATTATTGCTACAGTTCCATGAATATTTGAGAAAAAATTAAAAAATATTCTCTGGAAAGACAAAGTTTGACATGTGTCTACAAAAACAATATTGTTCAAATACTTTATATTATTATTTTTATGCCATTGATTTATTCAAGACCGAGGTGCTGTCTTAAAATCTCCCACTCCGAGAAGAATTTTTTCTCTTTCTGCTGTTTTTTGTGTTATATATTTGAATCCCATATTATTTGATTCTTAAGATTTATGAGTTTTATATGTTCATTGTGAATTGTGCCCTTTATCAAAATAAGATCTTAAAATCCCATTTAATGCACTTGATCTTGAATATGGCTTCATTGTATATTACTATTGCCATGCTTGCTTTAATTTATGTTTGCTTATGCTTTTAGTTTCAATATTTCTCCTTTAAAATGTTTGAACAGAGGCAAACAAAATAAAGAGATAATTTAAGAGCATTTCTCATACACATTTTTTTTCCTTTCTCTCCTTTAAAAGTGCCTCTTATATACAACATGCTGTGGGATTTTAAAAAGTAATCCAAATTTTTGTCATTATTAAGGCTGACTAGCCTGTTTATACTTAAACAGTTTTTACTGTTACTTGTCATTTTGGTTTCATGCTATTTTCCATGCCTCACCGCTGTTGTCTCTTTTTCTTTTTTTCTTATGCAATGTGGACCATCATTTCTTTCATTTTTTCATCCTCAGGGTTTATAACTTTACTAGTGCTTTCTTTTTACTACTTAAAGATAATATATTTGAACTTATACTTCTCCATTAACAGCTAACATTTATTGTTTCCTACATAACAGATGCTCTTCACATACATTATACAACTAAATTATAGCAACCACTGCATGAGATAGGTAATGATGTTTTTATGTGCCTTTTAAAGATGAGAAAACTGAGTCATAAAGAGGTTAAATAAAAAATTTACATCAGTTTTTTCAGAATCCACGCAACCAGAATGTAAACCCAGATTTCCTCCATTCCTTGGCTCATGGTACCTCCCTCCACGTTCAAAGCCAAAAATTGCATGCCTCTTACCTCCTTTTCCATTACATCCCATCTCCTCCTTTGGCTCTGACTTCTTATCTCCTTCTTTCACTTATAAGGACC